>NC_000003.12:165826786-165978301 GCF_000001405.40 Homo sapiens
GTTCTGAGGAAGTAGAGACTAGAAGAGTTTCTCAACCTTGGCATTATTTACATTTTGGAATGAATAATTATATCATTGTGGAATGCCGCCGTGTGCATTACAGGGTGTTTAGCAGCATGCTGGGCCTTTACCTTGCTGGTATCATCTGTTTCCCTAGTACTGACACTCAAAAAGGGCTCCAGACATTGTTAAATGTCATTGGTGGGTAGAAAGAAAGGGGCCTAGGAGGAAAGTCTTTGCCCTTGGAAATTACAGATTTGGGACATCAAGTCTGTGGTCAGAAAGATGTGGATAGATTTCCAGACCTAACAGTTATCAACTTTGTTTCCACTGCCGTTCACTTAATTATTCAAAGCTTCTATATTAATTCGCATGTATACTTTGAAAGTAGATAACGAACATCAGGATATTAACATTATGCTTGACATCAAATCAACCCTTAACACAAATATATAATGTTATTATCTCTGTTCAACTGTGCAAATATCGTCTGCAAATAAAATTACTAAAATAACATCTTGTTATTGCCACACTACTTTACAGTTTAACTCTTTATAGCTTATGATCTCCATGACATATATGTATTATTATTATTAAAATGTCAATTTTTATTTATTTCCCATTATAAGGTTAATATTAAATAACCTTATTAATTAATTAATAATTAAATAATTAAGTATTAAATAATCCTATTAAGTGTCAAAGATTTTCTTCTTTGGTCTGTTATATGGGTGCCATAAACAAGGCATTTAACACATCTGATTCTTTGTGTTCTCCATTGTGAAATGAGAAAATATAAATTCCTCAATGATTGCAACATGCAAAAAAATGAAGTCCTTTGAAAAGTTTAGGTTTCAATAATTTCAAAAATCATCCTTAAATCCTTAAATGATTTACAGTTCCTAGAATTTAAAGAAAGAATTAAAAACATATATAAATGATGTAATATGGATAAAGTCTTGAGGGAGAGAGCAGAATGAGATATAAGTAATTCTAATACACCTCTAAAAATAAGCTGATCGTTCTTTCCTTGAGCAGAAATTTATGCTGATGTTGAGAAGGAATAAAATATTTTACAGCTACGGGTAATATAATAACCCACATATCTTGAAAAGGCAATATAATATTTTTTACTCATACTATCTTTTACCAGCTCTCATTCAATCATTAGCCAAATATTTGTTAAATATGATACATACCCATCATAGTACTTCAATGAATATCAAATCAAAACCACAGGTTCTGTTTCAAGAACGTAGTTTAGTATGGTTGAGGAAGAACAGCTTACAATGAAAGAGGAAATAGACAAGTTACAGTCAACTTCTGTGAGAGTGAACAAGAAGTCTGAAGCAATTGCAACTCTAGGAATTAAAGAAATGTTGCATGAGATGTGTAGTAGATTAAGACCTTAAAAAAGTAGGACTTTGTCATTAAAGAGGAAAGAGGTAGGTGTTCTAAACAGGGCACATTGAGAGAAGAAAGTTCTAAGGTGCAGTTAAACTCAGAATCTTTGGTATTAGTGAGATAACTGGCTTACCCAGAACCTGGTGTTACTGAGTAATGTGAGTTGCAGCAAGATTACAGAGGCCTTTTAATGCTAGGTGGAAGAATTATAACTTTATCCACAGTGAATAAGTATTAAACCATTTTGAAAAGAATTGTACAACTGATATTGTAGAAACATACATACAGTAACATGAAATACAAAGAATTCCAAATGGAGGGTGGAAAAGAACACCAGAAAGCAATAATGTAACTATCGGCATTTTGTTTAGTTATAAAAGATAGTGTGATAGACTGAATTACTGAATCAATCAACTTATGATTTATGTAAACATTTCTTGTATAAGTAAATTTCTAAATTTCTATTTTTTTTAAATTATTCACATTGGTGCAATTTACTCCCATGTATAAAATGTGGTTTTGGTTTACAAATGTAGTGGGAGAAAAAAAAACTACTTTATTTTCTATAGATACACATACATATTTAGAAAATATATTCTAAATGGTTATTTTTTCTGACTCTTTTGGACATACTATCACAATACTTATAATATATGGGGGAAATATGTTTTTTGTAATGTCTCTGATTATCTAATGTCAGCCATAAGACTGCTCAGGTGGAGAACGGCTTAGCTAAAACCTCATGGCCCCAGTCAAACACAGGCTGCCTCAAATCTGATCAGGCCTATTAGGAAAAAAAGAAAAACCAAACAATACAATGGCAAATGTATATTTTGGGTAAACTGAGGGCCAACTGCATCACCATCATGTCCCTTCAATTTCCTAAGCAGAGATACATTACTTCATGTATCAGGTATCATGGTACCAAGCTGAAGAGCTTGGGAAGAAATAGTCCTACTCTGACGTAAATCTGTGAACATTGTAAACTTGCAGGTTAAAAAGTATTCTCACATTAATTTTAGTTCTCCAACTAAGCATCTTTTTCTATAAAAACTTTGGCTAACATTGTTGAAATACTTTGAAATATTTTGGAGATGAAATCAGAAGATATTTTTTATAAAATTTCTAAGATGATGATTTAAACACTCTGACACAGGGAGTTGAAATGCAGTTCATAAGAAAAAATAAAACCAGCTTTGGTACAAATAGAACAAATAATTAAAACATTTCTGTGTCTTTATACTAAAGTCTACCCCAGAGACCAAGCAAAGCTAAGCAAAACGGATCAAACCAAGCCAGAGAACAATGACAAAAATCAGCACTTACCCATATTTTGCAAAATTTGCCCACCGTTTCACTATGGATCTACTCAAAATTTCCTCGGCTTTTGTGTAATTATCTCTTCTTTCCAGAGGTAAACCAAAGACAAATTCAATTTCATAGCCATGCATCACTCCCATCCATTCTGGCCACGGAAGTTTGGAGGATCGGTGTTCAAAATAGTAGAAAAAGGCATTATTTCCCCATTCTGAGAACTTCTTGGTGAACTCCAAGGCAGGGCATATGAAATTATAATCCCCAACAACATCACCCAAGGCCTCACGGTAGTTTTCAGGTCTCTGATCATCTACCCAGTCTGTGTAATGAAAAAGGATGGATTCCTTTCCAAACTCACTCACTCCTGGAAAAAATATTTTTAAACCTTCCTGAAATTCTTTTCTAGTTATGATACTATTGTTATCTTTGCTGAAGCCAGGAGCACCATAGACTAAAAAAGCTGTCCCTTCATCTTTATTAACACCCACCAAAATCTGGGTTTTTTTAAATTGTCCAAGTTCAAGTAATATGTCTGGCATGTCAGTGAGAAAATCACCATCCACGGTCGGACCAAAGTTTACTGACAAAGGAGTCCCATAGGGGACAACAAATGCTTCATTCAGAAGAATTTCTTGGGGATCTTTATTTCTAAGACACTTGATTATTTCAGTCTCATTCTCTCTAGAGCAACCAGTCAATTTAGCTAAGTTCAACGTTCTGTTCCTAGCTTCATA
Organism: Homo sapiens; assembly: GCF_000001405.40. Classification (NCBI taxonomy): domain Eukaryota; kingdom Metazoa; phylum Chordata; class Mammalia; order Primates; family Hominidae; genus Homo; species Homo sapiens. The sequence continues at coordinate 165,830,242 of NC_000003.12, forward strand.
AAGAGATGTTACCGCCCAAGGAGCATTAAAGGATCCACTTTGCAGAATGGCTCTGGTGAACAATGAATGGCTTCCAGGAGAAAGCAAATGCAGGCTAACTGAAGCTGCTCCTGCACTTTCTCCAAAGAGAGTTACACTTTTAGGATTTCCACCAAAGGCTGCTATATTTTTTTGAACCCACTGAAGAGCCAACTGTTGATCAAATAAACCCATGTTCCCTGGAGCCTCAGGATTTCCTGGCAAAGCTAAGAATCCTAGGGCACCCACCCTATAGTTCATTGACACTACAATAACTCTTTCAACCCGAGCCAGAAACTTGCCATCATAAACATGTAAAGATGATGTTCCAGTTTGAAAACCACCACCATAAATCCATATCAATACAGTGGCATTTTTTGGTTTAGGTGCTGGAATCCATACATTTAGATATAAACAGTCTTCACTGAGGTCAGTGTTTGGGTTCCACATCTCTGATCCATGGAAGCCTGGAAAACTTTGATCTATGTTCTGACAGCAAGAATTTGCATATTTTGTGGCATTCCAAATATCAGACCACTTGGTCAGAGACTGTGGCTTTTTGAATCGAAGTCTACCAAGAGGTGGCTGTGCATAGGGAATTCCAAGAAAGGCTGTTACCGTGCCACCAAAAACTGTCAAGTTCATCCCTCTGACTTTTCCATTCTTTGTTGCAATTATGATGTCATCTTCAGTATGTGACTTCCCAATAAGCATGCAGAGCAAAAGAAACCAAAAGAGAAATCTGATGCATATGATTGTGACTTTGCTATGCATATTGATTTCTGAAAGAGAGGTAAGTATAATGTTTTATAAGCCTTCTGCATATAGCATATTATACTTTATTGATGATAATTACCTAAAATATAGTCGTTAGTAATTCTACAAATTATGAAAACAAATAAACCTGCTTCTGTAAAGGCCTACATAGGAAAAAATAGAAAACAGAGATATTTTAGTTTTCAATTTAGAAAAAAAAATAGTGGAATGGAAAATAAAAAATATTCATTTTAGGGATATTTATTGTCAAATCTTTGTAAGGAAGAGCTAGTATTTTAAATAGAATGTTTGTCCTAGCCAAATTTAATGTTACTTCTGACTATATGTACAGCTCCACCAAAAAAGCAGTAAACAGTAGTCTACCTACATCAGATATAATTTCTGCCTTGGTAAGAGGAGAAAATACAAGTTCATATATTCTCTGAAATATCATGACTGGCTGGTTCTTGGCAGAATTGTTAAGTAGGTTAAGAACTTTTAAGGATCAATAGATTGTCATTATTGTCCTTTTCTGTTTTCCTTGTCTTTTCTGTGGTCCCTTTTGCCAAGTGACATCTTCCTCTATACAATCCTATTATACAAACTGAAGAGAATTTAGACAATTTATTCACAGAATATTAAGTAACAAATATATGGTAGTCACCATTTATTCTACAAATTGTAAAAACTAACAAACATGCTACCACTAGTAAGGGCTATGGAAAAAATAAAGAGCGAAGGCTGAGGATATATTCCAGGTAATTTCTCCAAAATTTAATAAACATGAGGGACTCTTTACCAGATTTATAATGTCAATAGAGAGAACCAGGGGCTAGCATTATAATGTCTGGGAGAAGATTGTGGCTTAAGAGGAATTTTATACTCAGTATTACTCAATATGTATTCATATTTGTTATAGCAATTTGTTAACAGATTAAAGTATATGCAACTAGTGAAGCTAAATGTGTTAGCACAGTCAGAATTATTTGCATTTTTTATAATGAAAAAAATGACTGAAATTAGAGGATCAAAGCTTAGAAACTATTGGGCCACATGGCAGAAGCAAAAATAATCTTTGTGACCTACAAAATCATAAGTATTTGACATTTATGAAATAATATTTAATGGATGACATAGACTATTAGAAGAGATCTAAGTTTTATCAGAAATTCATAATGCAGATGTGAGTTTCTTTTCAATAAAAAAGAAATTAAAAATCAGATTTGGAAACTCTGTGACAAAGAGGGACAGCAAAATGTGATGCAAATATCATTTAAATGAACTAATGTCTCTTTTGAGATGGAGTCTCACTCTGTCGCCAAGCTAGAGTGCAGTGGTGTGATCTCGGCTCACTGCAACCTCTGCCTCCTGGGCTCAAGTGATTCTTCTGCCTCAGCCTCCCAAGTAGCTGGGATTACAGGTGTATGGCACCACACCCAGGTAATTTTTGTATTTTAGTAGAGATGGGGTTTTACCATGTTGGCCAGGCTGGTCTCGAACTCCTGACCTCAAGTGATCCACTTACCTCGGCCTCCCAAAGAGCTGGGATTACAGGCATGAGCCACCGCGCCCGGCCATAGAAGAACTAATGTGTTTATATAACTAAAATAGTCAATTACAAATACTGATTCTCATTCACATAATAATAACAAAGATCCATTAATGTACAAAGCCTTCCCTTTATTTTTTCTCATGCTGTAATTAGGTTGCTGAAATCCAACCTACACAACCAATAAACGAATCCTACAAATACTAAGCATTTGTATTAGTTTTGTCTTTGTTTATTTAATTTAGATTTTCTCAAAGAAAGAGAATAAATAACTATTCTAATGCCTATGTCCCAGACGTAGGGTATCATATTTCAAATCAGCCTAATTCACCAATGGTCATAGGATATCTAGTGACCTACAAGTATTTTTTATCCCAATAAATATCTCAATTTATTAATCCATGGTCTGGAGCATTTGGTTCAGGGCTTGATACTTAATGGATATATCTATTTCTATATCTAATTCTAACAATATTCATATGTATATGCATATATATTTACATATAAAATGACTGCTATAATAATAAGGTTTTAAAAAAATCAAGCCACAAGATTATTATTTTTTCAGTTCTGTTTGGTACAATTAGATGTGTGCTAAGATCAATAAAACATAATTAAAATATATTTTTAGCAGCATTTCTACATTCATGATATTTAGGTACTATTATATATAATTTAGGTACTATTATATAATGTATCCTTGTCATATGCCATTTATTGACAGGGATACATTCTAAGAAATGCATTGTTAGGCGATCTAATCATTGTGCACACATTATAAGTGTACTCACGCAAACTTAGATGCCATAGCCTACCACACCTTTAGGCTATATGGTATAGGCTGTTGCATCTAGGCTACAAATCTGTATAACATGTTCCTGAATACTGTAGGCAATTGTTAGAAAATGGTAACTGTATGTGTATGTAAACAGAGAAAAGGTACAGTGAAAATACTATATTATAATTGTATAAGACCACCATTATTGATTGAAGCATCATTATGTATTGTATGACTGTATCATAAATCACAGTAAATAAATAAGTAAAATATAACAATGACTTAAAGTTTCCTGTTACCTGACACTAATAACATTTCAGACATAATCAAAGTTTTAGAGGCACTCTACTGCTTCAGTTCTTTTTTCTTTCTGATAACCGCTAATCCTTTTCTCTTTAATAAATGCAGGAGAGCATCTGGAGAAAAACAAAGTGCTAGTATGATTTTTTTTATTTTCTGTTTTGAAAACATCCTCTGGGAAGAAAAAGTGAATAAGGTGCAAAGCTGATTGGGCGGTTCGTTCTAAGCTGCAATTTAATAAATTAATTGCATCATCCCTGGTTGTACCCATTCTCCCTCTTGCCTAGCTCAGTCAATGTTCTTCTAAGTCTAATGCAAAAGCCATCTATTTTTTCCTTGATTTTATTTGAATATTAGTTTGTCTTTAGAAACCAAACACCAAATTGAAATAAATTTTGGTCTCTGATAGTTTTCAAACTTGTTCTACAAACAGTTTATATTATTGCAAAGCAAGTACTATAGTTGCTACAAAACTGTATTTGTGTTTTGTGTAATTATGAAATGTGATGTTTCATTGTTTATGTTAAACAGTTGCTATAACATCTAAATGGTTGTAATATCTTCCCATGTCACTTAACTTGATTTAATACAAAATTTATTATATGTTGATATTTATATTTTATGCTGAGTAGGTCTTGTTATATAATAATATGGTATGAATTAAAATCTTTAATTTTTCGATAATGATATCTGAGTTATCAACTTGCAAATAATGTAATTGGTAACAATCAAAGCAATTCTTGTAAGCATGCATTCATTGCAAAAATGACAATATAATGCTAACTCATATGTATTGTTGCAGAGTGTCATATGACATATTATTTAATGTGTACTTTAATATAAAAATATGCAGATGTTCATATACTGTTAGTGTATTGTAGGCTAATGTTTTTATATTTAATTGCAGTACTTTATTTTTTAAATAAGCATCACTTTGCCCTTTTTATAATCTGGTATTATCTATTCTAACATGCTACTCTGTAGTTTTGCCATTAAAAGACTTTAAAAATTTTGATATGTTTATCATGTAATTGAGCAATCGAAAGAGAAATAAATGAAAATAGAATAAAAATATTGAGTCTATATCTCAAAATTTTTATTAATGATTAGGATATTCAACAAAACATTATCGTTTTTCTTTTTTTTAATTTTATTATTATTATACTTTAAGTTTTAGGGTACATGTGCACAACGTGCAGGTTTGATCGTTTTTCTTTTAATAAATTCTGGTGCAATTGGATACTGTCTCACATGATTCTGAGAGAACATAGTAGCATAAACATTATCATAAAAATGGGGCACATTTTCACAAATACAGCTGTGTATCTGAATTTAGATCAATTTGCTTATCAAAATAGTATTTAATATTGGAAATAAAGACAGGAGTTTTTGTTTGGAATTCAGACCATTCTAGTTTTTGAGGAATTGAGTTTTTGAGGAATTTGAGTTTTTGAGGAACTGAGTTTTTGTTTGGAATTAAGAAAATTTACTGGCAATTTTTGAAAATGCTAAACTGTTATAACAATAACTTTCAAATAAAAAAGGTGACAAATCTTTTTTTGTATTTTTAATTCAATTTTGAAAGTACTATTAATATTCCCTAGCTGATTTTAACAAAAAATACTAAATGTTATACTATAAGATGTGAGTGTGATAAAATAATTTGTATAAAGAGCTATTTTTTGGGATACTTGAATATCAACCAGATTTTCAAAATAAGGGACAAGCCAAGAATTTTTAAAAGATGTTCAAGCAAATATTCAAAATATTTTCCCTGTGTATAATTTCCCTATCTTTTAAAAAGTTACAATTAAATAAATATTTATTTCTACTTGGAAATAAACCCTCTTAAAATGGTAGAGAAAGAGCCATCTAGATAATATTAATATGATCTAGAACAAGCTCTCTTAAATGTATTTGAAGAAATTGGAACAACGACGTCTTTATATCAAACTTAAAAAGCTTGTTTTGTTGCAGACTAAGTGAAGTGGGGAATTGAGGAAGTCTGATTATAAATAGACTACATCACTGTCTTTCAGGGATTCTTCAGCTATGCTTTAGGCATGTATACATATAGAAGACACTACATTAGATATAAGAAACTTAAGATGTTTTATCTGTCCTCAATTAGGAAGAACATTTGCAAACTTCATTGTGTGAATAATTTGAACATTTATTAGAGAGATTTCTTGAGTCTTCTCTGAAAATTAAATCTCCTCTTAGGTTGCTATCTATTCAATTACAATTCTCTTAACATCTGGGACCGTCTAATTTTGGTAAGAATGAGCAGATGCTGGCAAGAAACCATCGAAATGAAGATAATATTCAATGTAAATATATATTATACTTATCAAGAAATGACTCGAAGAAGGAACCAAATTTATAGATAAGATGTGACTTGTTTAGCTATTAGTAGCTTATGTTTTATAAAAATGAAATATGGAATACATCCCAAACATATTTTTACAATTAAAAAACTAGGACAATACAAACAAACAACAACAACAAAAAATTAGGAGAACAAAACAGAACTTTGATAACCCAATTAGAAATTTATTTGGCATCCAAAAGACTACTTTATTTTATATCCAGAGAAAATTCTGAAGATTTTTATTCAAATGTTAAAGTCACACTTTAAAAGCTCACGCTTATCCTTAAACAAAGTAACTACTTATATAAGTAAACTGTCATTGTATTTATTGTAACTATGAGATAGTTTATATTAAGGAAGGCATTACACAGACTAGTGACAGGAGCTCCTAATTGAGTTTATTATCATGAAATATATTCATAAAAATGTAGAAGACATACTCATAAAATAAAAATATATAATAAATAGAAATCATAAACAATGAAATCACATTTCAGTTTACTTTTAGTCATTCATAGATTTTATAATCCTTAATATTTAATTCCCTGGTTAAAGTGGAACTGATGTTATCAAAATAATAGTTTTACAAGATTATAGGATGAGCAGAAAGTACATTTGCTTACTATTTCTATAATAGTAAAATAATAGCAAATGTAAAATATTTTGCTACAATTTAAACAAACATATAAAAAGTGAACACAAAGGGCAAAGGGGACACGCTCATAAATCACTGTAAATCAAATTAGAAAACAGGTTTTGTTTTTATTTACATAAAATAAACAGACCTCTCATTTGCCAGTTGTTACTGTTAAAGTTTTAGGTGACAAAATGTTGATTGAGAAAAGTATTTTGTTCAGGAAAAAGTAAGTTAACTACTAACTTTATCCCATTTAAAAAGAAAAAAAAAGGAAGACTAATCAAAGATTACTTTTACAGAGAGATTCAATAAACAATGCATTTAAGGGTAAGCCAGTATGAAATGTTTTTTCTTAGGAAACTCACTAAGAATATATATCACAGTGATTCCACACGTGCTATGGTCCTTTATACAGAGTTGAATAAATTCATTATTTTCTCAGCAGTTAAATAAACAAAGTCTGCGTTCCCTGAATAATAGGAAGATTTGATGCATGTGCCTGCTGGCTCACTTCCTCTGTCCCATTTGCAAGCTTCAGTAACTGTTCCCCACAGAGCACCAAAGGGACACAACAAACACATGAAGAGATCACTCTCATCCCACAGAATGAGCTTTACAGTAACTTGGATCTCTACACGAAGGTGTAAATTCAGAGCAACTTACCCGATTCTCTGCAACAAAGATGGCAAAGTTTGCAAGGAGTGAAAATCATGTAATACTTCGGGGAAATGCAGGATGCAGCTGCTGCTCCAGCCTGTAAATTGGACTGCACTGACATTCAGTGTTACTGAATGTAACAATCAACTGTTACTGACAAAGCTCGCGAGAGTTGGCAGCAGCAACTTGAAATCTGTTCAGAGGCTAATGGTATAAATGCAATAGTGATTCATTTACAGAAGTATTACAGGATTCATGCTTTACAATTGCAGGTAGTCTTCTAAGAATGAAGAAAAAAAGCATAGAAGATTCTTTAACTAAAATAATCTGAAATGTAACAGAAAATGCATGTTTCTTTTAACTCTAAACTTTAAAAAAATTTTCCTTTTTTTAAGAATATACATATTTCCTATGCTTGTCTTAAGATTTAAAGACGTATACATCATTCTAAAGTAGTGCTATTATTGAAATCCATTATAGCTTCAATCTGTGCTAATTATATAGTTAGAGAAGATAGTAATATAGAAAATAAGAAACACAATGCTCTAGATATAAGCTATGCAAATCAAAAACTTAGTTCTATTAACTGAATGGATGTCTCTGATATGTATCTCCTTTCAACCCCCACACTTCAACACTTATTTAAGTCATACAAATTTCAGCATTGGTAATTTCCTATTCAGAAGACCCTGCAGGCAGTCATACATGATGAGAAGCCACAATTTTCTGGTCAAGACAGGAAAAATAAAATGAATAACCTTCACCAAACTCTATAAAAGAGACACATTTGTCAACTTGCAGTGCACATGCTCTGGAGAATATATTTATGTCTTTGGCGCTTATCTTTCTTGAAATGATGTTCAGGAAAATAATTTTTTAAAAAACCTTTGATAAACTCCTTAATCCCTATCTTCTCAATGCAATATATTCTTAATCTTCTGTAAGTGATAGCTTTCACTTTTGAATCTCTTACTTGTGGGCTTTCTATGGACTAAACAGAAGGCATGTATTAATATTTGCAGGTGAGCACTTTTTTGCCTTTTAATAGAGTGTTAAATTTTCAAACAAGCAAATATAATTAGCATTTGTTGTAATTCTACCTTATGCCAGTCATTATAATTGACAATTTATATTAAATATTTTATATTATTTCAGCAAATATGAGAGTTAATATTATTAACCACCTCATCAGATGAGAAAGCTAAGGTTTCTACAAATCAGAAGCTTACTATATTTCTTACCACTAGTAGCTGTTGGAAAACAGAATTTTAATCTGTATTATTCTGTTATTTTATGTCAACTGCTTCCAAGAGAATAACCATTTTGGTCTTTTAAAATTATCTTTTCTGTGAAAATTGCTACTTAGGCAGTGTTAATTCAATGATAAATATCATGATCACAATAATTTATAATGTATTTAGAATATAGTTTATGTAATAACAAGTTAGTTACACAAAAGGTACAGAATACATAATCTATCTGAAAAGGAGAAAAAGGAGGTGGAGCACAGTGGTTCATGACTGTAATCCCAACATTTTAGGAGGCCTAAGTGGGCGGATTGCTTCAGTCTGGGAGTTCAAGACAAGTCTGGACAACATAGCAAAACTCAATTTCTGCAAGAAAATGGGTCAGACATGGTGGTGCAAGCCTACATTCCCAGTTACTTGGGAGGTAGCTGAGGTAAGAGTATCACCTGAGCCTAGGAGGTCGAGGCTGCAAGCCACGATTGTGCCACTGCACTTCATCGTGGGTGACAGAGTGAGATCCTGTCTCAAAAAAAAATTAATCAATAAATCAATAAAAGCAGGAAAAGGCTTTTTAAATGGAAGTATATTGACAAATTTGCAATGGTTTTTATAGTGATGGCATTTCTGTTTAAAATATAGTAAATCTGATGTTCCACATGAGAGTTCATGGGTTCAATATACATGATTTTTAAAAATCCAAATGTCAAAATTCTTCTCTCCAACCCAAGTCCACTGCATTGTTTCCTGTGCTAGCATAAGGTCAGCCTATCAAACGCGGCAATTATTAAGGAATATTTTGTGACGTTAGTGAATTCAGCAAAGCATTTTACATGCTTCCTGCATCTACTCACTGCTAGGTAAAATATGTCACATATATACACATATTTCATTTTCATCTTTAAACAGGAAGCCAAACAATAAAATAATTGGTTTCAAGCAGATCTTTATCTTTAACGCATGTTTAAACTGGCTAACTAGCAACATCAACTGATTACACAAGTTGGCAATTTTTCTTCTTCTCAATGTCTTTACTTCAAAGAACCACCTTCTGTTACTGTCCCTGTAGTTCTTTTCCTCGCATGATTTCACAGCTATGCCACATTAGTTCATTCATTATTTTAGTGCACCTCTAAAGCATTTATTCTTCCTGTCTTGAGAGTTTCTTCCTTGTGGCTCAACTTACAGCAGCTGCTTTGCTTCTGTGGTGTCATCATTTTCTCACACTCATCCAGCGGAAGGATGTAGGTCACACACAGTGAGCTTGTTTCAGGGTTAGTAGGGAAGCACTATTCCATTACATCACAGCATGGATGGTTAATGATCCTGCTGTTAAATGTTGAGTATGCCTTGTAAGCGACACTGATGAAATACCACAAGACACTTGACACGGCATTAACACTGCGCACATTTTGCAACCATATATGCTGAAGCTTGGGCAGGACAATCATTATGGTTTTGGCTCTATGATCACTTTCAGTTAGCCAGTCACAGTGGTTTTTTGCTTTTAAGGTCCCATTGTAACTCAGTTACCACTGTTTTCTAGATAGCAGCATTCAGTAAGATTTGAGATGGTGTGAAAAACATTAATCCTGTATTATACATTAGTTTTCCTTAGGCATACTGATGCCAAAAAAGTGCTCTAAACTTATATTAATTTTATTCATTTTTTTTACAATAGCACTGCATTCTCTGAAATGAATATGGATAACAAAGAAAAGTATATATAAGTATAGATAGATAGATAGATAGATAGATAGATAGATAGATAGATAGATAGATAGATTTTTTTTTTTTTTTCCTGAGATGGAGTCTCACTCTGTCGCCCAGGCTGGAGTGCAGTGGCAGGATCTCGGCTCACTGCAACCTCTGCCTCCTGGGTTCAAGCAATTTTCCTGCCTCAGCCTCCTGAGTAGCTGGGATTACAGGCACCCACCACCAAATCTGGCTAATTTTTGTATTTTTAGTAGACACAGGATTTCACTATGTTGGCCAGGCTGGTCTCGAATTCCTGACCTCAGGTGCTCCACCAACCTCGGCCTCCCAAAGTGCTGGGATTATAGGTGTGAGCTACTGCATCCAGCCCAGAAAAGTATATTTCTACATTTTACATATCACAGAGAATGAAAAGACCATTTTGTATATTCCAATCAATTTTTTAAAATATGTGTATGTGGTTATAGTTACATAGATAAATATAGTGGTAGTCAAATGGCTTATCATCATTCTTCTTGCTTTTTATCTTATGATATTAATTTCCTATTAAAATATTTTGATTACTGTGTGATATATTATCATATGGGCATATTATGGTTCATTGTATCTCTTGTTACTTATATGATGATAATAATAATTTTAGGTAATAAATATTATTTGAAAGCACTATTCTATCCACTTTGAATACATGAATTCATTTAAAACTCATGACTACCTTTAAAATAAGCACTATTATTAACCTTATTTTACATTTGAGAAAATATAGCCACAAAGAGTTTAAGTAACTTGCTCCAAATCATACAGATACCGAGGTTAGCTTCTGACTTTTTTTATGTATTATTACAATAGGCATTTTGTATATCGATATTTGAGTGCATCTTTTAATTATTTTCTTAATTTATTTTCCCAGAATTGGAATAACCAAATACGACATGGACAAAGTACATATACATATATGTGTGTGTGTATATATACATGTGTGTATGTATATATATTTATATGTATATTCAATCTTCTGAAATCCTACACAGACTGTTGAATAGAGATAACTTTCCAACAATTCTGGCAAAAAAGAGAAATGTTCTTATAATCAGAACTAACCTGAACATGTCTCTGGAGCCCAGGTACTAGACCCTCATAGCTGGATGTGGCAGGTGTTTGAAGGTGGATATCTCCAGAGATATTAGAAGTAGGTCCAGAGCCACAGGTAATAAAATTCTTTAGTGATGTTGTAGCAACTAATATGGAAGGCCTTGCAGGAAGTGACATCTGTAAGGGATAACACATAGATATTTTGGGGTTAAGGGAGAGTGAGTGATGGGAGGTCTGTGGTGCCTTTTACATGAAGATACAGATAGTTTGGTTAAAGGAGTTTTGGAAAGAGACAACAACAATTTGGTGAGACACTAGAATATTAGACTCTAAGAACAGAAAGAAAATCAAGAAAAAGCAAGAGCTTCTAAGGAAATGTGGTGCCAAGTGGATTTTCATGGAATTGGCAAAGCCAGCAGAATCAAAGTAAGAAAACAAATTCTGAACTAAATTGTTCAGGGCTTGAGCAAAAAAGGAGAAACTCATTGTTTTAAAACATAAAAAAAGAGAGAAAAACAGCAAGCTTCTTTGTTTATCACCTAATTTACTGAATTGGCTTAAATTTACTCTTCCCAAACCCTTGACTATCTTTGGAGTCTCACTCTCAGAAAAATTGCAAAGTAACACATTATCAAATTCATCAAAGTGCTATTTAAACATCCAGATTTCTAGGCCACATCCCTGGGCTTTGGTTTCAGTAGACTTGAGGACAGCGTTATACTACTGTCCTCTGTGAAGCTGATAGAGGGAGTTCACAAACTACACACTAAGAGGCAAAGTCCTGGAGCTTGGATACTAAGGACATTTTTGTGCTACCATATATATATATATGCTTTTTCTTTTTTTTAATTGCTTATTCTCATGCACAACTGTACCTTTTGCTTCAAGCTAATTTGGAAATACATCATACATAGTCTTTGGTAGCCTACTTTCATATAACCTATCTTAAGTTTTTCCAAAATAATGCTATCGAATATTTTTTTAACTTCATTTATATGCCTATGTATTAATTATTTGTATAAGTACAATATAATTTATCTAACTTGCTTTTATTGTATATGAAGGCTATTTTAAATTTTTCCTGGAAATAGTAACATAAAAATGGACTTAGTAATTATAAATATTTTTAAATATTTCTTATTTTCTATGGAATAATTGCTTAAATCAGAATTCTTCAAAAGGTTATCTATGCTTTTATGGCTAAGACATATCAACCAACTACCTTCACAAAACATCAGCAATTTATACTCTCACCAGCTGTCTAGGAAAGTGTATGTTGTTCTCATGCTCAAAAACGCAATTTATTATTACATATCTTTTGTCATTTCATTTGATAAAAATGTACTATTTTTAGTTTATTTGCTTATAACTGTTACCACCCATATTTCAGGTGTTTAAAAGTAACTTTTTATTTCTGTACAATTTTAAATTTATGGAAATTTTCAAATTAGTGCAGACAACTTCTATATAATATTTACTCAGATTCACCATGTGTTAATATTTTAAGCCATTTTCAGTTATGTCTTCCTTTATACATGAGATAAAATATGTGCATTTACAAATTATTTTTTCTGAATTATTTCAGTTATTTGTAGTACCAATGTCCTTTATCCCTTAACACTCTGGTAAGATCTACGAACATTCCCTTTTCTCTGGCTGTAAATATAATAAGTGAATTCAATCAACAATCTGGTAATAGAATACAAGACTATTTGTGAGGAAAAGCCCTGTTATTATGGAACAACTCTAATTTAAAGAAGAAAGACAACTAATATATGTAGAAGGAATAACACAGCAGAAAAAAATTTTCATACCTTGATGAATATACTCATTCAGTTAAGAATTAACAATTGGTGTTAAGATCACTAGATGTATGATTGAAGGAAAACTGGATAGGTGATATTCTTGAGAAACCACACATATTTCAATCCAAATTTTATAACTAAAGCAAAGGGTAAATTTTAATGTCACAAATAGCAGAATCAATAAAATGTTAGGTAAACAATATCACCAAGTCTATCTAAAAATTTTAATTTGAGTCTTTTATTATCACATTGAAGATATGAATTCAACTTTATATTTATATGAAATAAAGAAAATAAATGAAAGAAACAAATTGTATCTCAATGGAGCACCCAGCCAATTCCTGAAAGTGGAACATTCTGGCTTGGTCATTTCAACAAAACAATGAAAGTAAAGTTCTATGAAAGCCTGGGCAAAATGCAAGAGACATAATCACATGTAGTATGTGGTTCATGACCAGAAATGGGTTTTTTGGGGGATAAATTTTGGAAATTTAAATAATTTGGTGGTACTAGCTTAGAAAAAATTTACTGAGGTGAAAATTCTTGAAGAAGTGGCCTGCAGAACATTATGAAAAATATAATCCCATTGTGGTATGCGTGTATACAGACAGACAGACAGACAGACACACGCACACACACACACACAGATTTGGAAGAATAGAAATTAAATGACTTTATGCTGAGACGATTTGGCAGAGATATTTATACAAAATTATGGAAACAATTTATTTTTATTTTGCCTTATATTTAAGAAAATCAGGAAGAGAAGGAGCTGCCAAATTTTCATTATTGAAATGATATAAACTTCATGTCAAAGCAAGTTAAGAATAATAAAAAGCCAGCACTTTGGGAGGCCGAGGCGGGCAGATTACGAGGTCAGGAGATCGAGACCATCCTGGCTAACACAGTGAAACCCCGTCTCTACTAAAAATACAAAAAATTAGCCGGGCATGGTGGCGGGTGCCTGTAGTCCCAGCTGCTCTGGAGGCTGAGGCAGGAGAATGACGTGGACCTGGAAGGCGAAGCTTGCAGTGAGCCGAGATCGCACCACTGCACTCCTGCCTGGACGACAGAGCGAGACTCCGTCTCAAAAACAAACAAACAAAAAATAGAATAAAAAGAAAAGAGAAGTTGGAGTTTGAAGAAACTGAGGCAATGAGATTTTAAGGGGAAATGGAGTAAACAAATTGAGAAGAAGACTAAAGATAACAAATTAAAGAAAAAGGAGCAATTTGGGAAACCACTCTAAAGAGTAGAAGTTTTGGGGAGGTAGAAGCATAATAAAGACTTCTAGAATGATATTTGTGGTGAAGTGTAAATCTCTCCTGAGAATCTTCAAACTTGTTAGGAGAAACCAACACTGTTTTTTAAAAGTTCTGGAGCAGATGTGTATGTGAGTTTTTGTGTGTTTCTGTGTATCTGTGTGTGTGTGTGTGTGTGTGTGTACATGTACTACAGAGACAGTGGATACAAAAGTATCCAGAGTTGGGCTTCAAGGGAAAAAATGGTACAGTCTCATTTAATAAAGTGGCTGAATATTAAATATGTTAATTAAGAAAATAAAATTGTTATGCTATTATGTTTCTGAGGTAGAAAATTGTACTACTTTATATGATTTCTTCATTTCTGTAATTTGAAAAGTTTCCTAATTTGCATATAATATGTTCAAGTAAAAATAAACTTCTTATAAAATAAATTTGATTATCATAAGATCACATTTTGGAGCCATGTAGTCATTTCTGAGATGAGAGTTAAAGAAGAGCATCCAGTGGCACCCTCCACAGCGGGGTCTCACCTTCAAAACCAGGGTCATCTGGTGCTGTCTTCTCAGACTTTTTTCTCTACCTCAGTGTTTGTCTTCAGTCTTTTTTCCCTTTATCATCTTTGCAATATTCCCAGATATCTTTCTGTTTTTTTTTTTTTTTGTAACTGTATTTTATTACTTCAGAATAGCTTTGTAAATGCCAAAATTTACATCTTATTTCTTGGGGGGAGTCAAAAGCTACAATGCAGAAATTGTGAAGTGCTGAGATTCACCTTTGTTTTGGAACTGGATCACCAATGTAATGCCAAATAATCTGATATTTAGCTAAACACTGTATTGCTAGTATATGACTGCAATTACTAAATATAATTAGGCAAATAATAATTAATCTTGATATGTCTTAGTACAACCTGTATCTTAACATTGTTTTTCAGTCTGCTCATATTTGGTGATTATATTCACAGCATGATTTTACCATAAAAAAGAGATTTACTCAGGGTGTATTTCTAAATACATAGAAGCTTATTTTGCTGGCCATGAAAAAACAACAGTATAATTTACTGCCTCCAAGTAATTGTTTTATTTCTGACTTCCTCCTTAAACCCAATTAATGGTACTTTAGCCCTTTTCTGTATCATCATTGTTCTGAAGTCAGATTTTTGGCTCCGTTTAAATGATCAACGTGACATAAAACATATAGATTAGTGTTACAAATCCCCAGAAACATAACTGGAAGGGACAACTTATTTGCAGGCCTCACAAAGTATTCTTCTGCAAATAGACAACCATATCTAACTGATTTTTATGGACAAATTGTTAAAACTATGTCTACATTAACTTTGTAAATTTAAATCAGTAGTCACAGAAAAGGCATGAAAAGCTCTGTGATGATTGTGTCAACTTAACTGAGTAAATGAATGCCCTAATAACTGGGAAAACTTTTTTTTTCTTGGTCTGTCCAGAAGAGATCAGCATTTGAATCAGTAGACTGAGTAGCTCTCACCAGTATGGGCAAGTGTCATCTAATCCCTTGAGGCCTCACCTAGAGAACAAGAAGGGAGAGAAAGAATGAATTTGCTCTCTCTTCTTGAGCTGGGACATCCATCTTCTGCCCATCCTCTGCTCACCTTCTGCTCCTAGTTCTTGATTCTTGGACATATGTCATCCCCACTCAATTGTCGAGCCTTCGACCTTGGACTGGAAATTCCAACACTGATCAGTTCTTCTGGATCTCTGGCCTTCAGATTTGGACTGAATTACACCAACAGCTTTCCTGGCTGTCTAGCATGCAGATAGCATATTGTGGGAATTAGCCTCCATAACCGTGAAAACCAGTTTCCATAACAAATCACATCTTCTCCATCTCTATATATCCTATTAGTCCTCTTTCTCTGGAGAACCGTGACTAATACGAGATCTCAAGCGAGAATATGCATTTCTGTCTTGCCTATTTAATTAAGTTTTGGGGAAAAAAATCACATGGAGTAATGCACAGAAATCTTGTTATGAGATTGCCAAAAGTTCCATTTATCACCTACTCCATCTCTTATCCTATAGATATTTTATGATTTTCACAACTTTGTAAAACACAGAAGTATACATATTGAAAACCATTTATAAACTATTTCTGGATTTAAAAAGAAGAATCAAATTGATATTACAAAATAATGTATAACAAAAGCACTACATATAAACCCATTGTAACTTGCAACTGAATAGATATTATTATTAAAAGAAAATTGATAGATGTAAATGCTTGTTGGAATAGAAACAAAATTGTAAACAGTGAAGAATCCCATGCAAGAGCTAAAGAAAAGAATGATAAAGAAAACCAAGAGACAATATAACATTAGAAATTGTAGTAATGAGAACAGAAATTAATAAAATAGAAGATGGGGGGAACGACAATGGGAGCAGCAAAAGCAGAACCGAGTTCTTTGAAATATTCCTATCAAAAATCTGGGAATAATTATAACAAAATATAAGCTCTGTATGATAAATATTTTACGTTTTTATTAAATACATCAACAGATGACCTCTTCTACCCCAAATAGAAAACTATGTCTTGTTCACACATGGGAAATCTCAGTCCTGTAAGATGTTCAGTCTCTATTTGTTACACAATTCCAAATAAATTCCCTTCAAAATTTTTAACGAACTTGAAAACTCACTTGAAAAGTTATGAAAAGTAATGAGCTCAAAATAGCCAATATAGTTTTAGAGAAGAAAAGTAAATAGAAATTAATTTGTCTCATTAGATATATTTAATAATGCACTTTGATGATTAAAATTACATAGCATTTGGATATATTGCATTTGGATAGTGATAACCTTGTAGAAGAGAATAGAGATTCTGTATCCTCAGTTGTATATAAGGATATATTATATGGTATATTAGAGGGATATTAGAACATGACCTATGTAATAAGTGAAATGAAACAAGTGTTCATCATATAGAAAGCATTTTGATTAAATTTCTACTTTAACTATAAACCATACACAAAAATATTTCTGCATGAATTTGAGACCTATGTATGAAAAACAAAATGTTAAAATTAAGAAAACCATGAGACTACCTCAGTGGAATTCAGGTAAAGGCAATTTTTCTAAATAAGACACAAAAGGCCATTATAGAGAAACATTTAATTGGAATAATTAAAATTCTAAAATTACCAAGAAAAGCTTAAAAAGTTAAAAAATACACAAAGACAGAAAGATGCATATAACCAATAAAGAACTATACTCAGAATATAGAAAGAACTAGAAATTAAAAATAAGAAGACAACTCAAAGAAAAAAATGATAAAAAGATCTGAACAAGCAATTCACGAAATGGAAAGCCTAGTGGCCAATCAACATGAAAAAATCTCAATTTTTCTAATCACTGATGATATGAAAATTAAAAAACAATTAGATGCCAATTCACACAAACAGAAGTTGTCCAAATTGTATGTCTGCTATTGCTCAGTATTAGCCCAGAAGGGAACTAGGAATGTGAAAACATGTTACTGAATTTTATGTTGGTATAAATTTTTAAAAATATTATTGAATATATCAACCCTAAAATCAAAATTCTAGGCATATACACTAATGAAACTCATGCACCTATACACAAAAGTCATGCAAAAAGTCTAGATTTTTATAATTTTTTAATAATATAAAGATACTAGGAAGGACCAGATTATGACTAGACAAATTTTTATGGTCCTAGAGTAGAATAGCATGTAATAATCAAGAATAAAGATAGGCCGGGCTTGGTGGCTCACGCCTGTAATCCCAGCACTTTGGGAGACCGAGGCGGGCGGATCATGAGGTCAGGAGATCGAGACCATCCTGGCTAACATGGTGAAACCCTGTCTCTACTAAAAATACAAAAAAATTAGCCGGGCGTGGTGGCGGGCGCCTGTAGTCCCAGCTACTCCGGAGGCTGAGGCAGGAGAATGGCGTGAACCCCGGAGGCGGAGCTTGCAGTGAGCCGAGATCACGCCACTGCACTCCAACCTGGGCGACAGAGCGAGACTCGGTCTCAAAAAAAAAAGAATAAACATCAATACCAAAACGTTGAGAGAAAACATCGACATGTGGAATGGCATGATGTGTTTTTAATACATTTTAAGTACATACTAATTTTTATTTTGTTTACCAAGGTATATGCATTTGCTTGGATGAATATAATATTTGGATAGTTGCTATATATGGAGAGGTAATACATTTGTAATATATCTATACTATTTATTGAACCTGTTGACTCTTGACTCCTCACCGTAGCCCTTAGAAAATTTTGAATTTTAAGTTTATTTGTATGTTCATTATTAGTTTTGTCTTTTTCCCCATAGTTATGGATTTTAAAATGAGAAGAAGGACCATGTCCAGTTCATAATCCACTAGTGCTCAGCCCTAACAGTGCAACTCTGGTGTTCATTAAATAATTATTGAATGAATAAATCCCCATATTGTATACTCCCAACCACATTTGATATTATCTTTTTCTAATAATTGTATACTTATTATTTAAAAATTCTCTTTGAACGTTCATTTATATGATTTATATATTCTGAAAAATTATTCCATTCCATTTCAGTTAAATCTTAAAGTATTTTTCTTCTATTATAGTTTTTTTTTTTAAATAATAGTATGTGATTATTTTCCCTCTCTAGTTTGAAATAGAGAATTTAATAATTATAAATTACTAAAGTTACTAAAAGGTATAAATACCTTTATATGCTTAATTTAATCATTATTCTCCCTTCTTTATATACTTTCATGCTATAAAATATGAATTTGTTGACTCCATTTTGTGTTCTATTACTGTATATTTTCTTTTTTATATATCACACTATATTTGGATCTTCATGTTTTATGTTGAGGTTTTCTTTTATTTTTTTGTAACCAAATAATATGAACTTTTTTCCTTCAGCCTTTAATTTCCAGGGTACGTGCGCAGTATGTCCATGTTTGTTACATAGGTAAACGTGTGCCATAGTGGTTTGCGGCACAGATCAACTCATCACCTAGGTATTAAGCCCAGCACCCATTAACTATTCTTCCAGATGCTCCCCCTTCCCCTGCTCCCGCAAAAGGCCCCAGTGTGTGTTGTTCCCCCACAATGTGTTCATGTTCATGTGTTCTCATTGCTCAGCTCCCACTTATAAGTGAGACCATGCAATTTGATTTTCTGTTCCTGCATTAGTTTGCTAAGAATAATGGTGTCCAGTTCCATTTATGTCCCTACAAATGATGTGATCTCATTCCTTTTTATGGCTGCATAGTGCTCCATGGTATATATATACCACATTTTCTTTATCCAGTCTATTATTGATGGGCATTTGGGTTGATTCTATGTCTTTGCTACTGTGAATAGTGTTGCAATGAACATACACATGCATGTATCTTTATAATAGAATAATTCATATTCTTTTGGGTATAAACACAGTAATGGGATTGGTGGGTCGAATGGTATTTCTGCCTCTAGATCTTTGAGGAATCACCACACTGTCTTCCACAATGGTTGAACTAATTTAAACTTCCACCAACAGTGTAAGTATTCCTTTTTCTCTGCAATTTCGCCAACATCTGTTGTTTCTTGACTTTGGGCCTTTTTATTTTTCCAGATGAAATGTCATTTTTTTAAAAAAAAAAAAAACCTAATAATATATCCATCCATTAGAATCTGGCTTATACAAAAGCAACAGAAAACCAACTCATTAGCTTGAGACAGCATGGGTTTTATTTTTCTTACATAAGGAATCTGGAGGTACATGGCCATGAAAGGAAACTAAAAAGTGAAGGTGTTTTTAGTCTGCTGTATTGCAACCCTGAACAGAATTTGTATTTTGTTAGTAAGGAAGAGGCCAAATTTGCATAGTATAGAAAACTATTAATATTTACCATTGTGTAGTACTTTTAAAAGTTCCATCAGTTAATTTCATTAATTAAGGAAAAGTGTCTTCTTATAAGTAAAATGGATATCTCTCAATTTATTTATCTATGTACCTAAAAGTTAATGTAAAAGAATTATGATATATTTTAAAATATAGTTTATATCCTATGTATTTTTGTATGTCTTTAGTTAACTTTACACTAATTGGCAATAATTTGTGAATATATAACCAGAAAAATATTTTTATTATTTTTTTTGGAGATGGAGTCTCACTCTGTTGCCCAGGCAGGAGTGCAGTGGCACGATCTTGGCTCACTGCAACCTCCACCTCCTGGGTTCAAGCGATTCTCCTGCCTCAGCCTCTCGAGTAACTGGGATTGCAGGTGCATACCTCCATGCCCAGCTAATTTTGTATTTTTAGCAGAGCTAGGGTTTCACCATGTTAGCCAGGCTGGTCTTGAACTCCTGACCTCAGGTGATCCACATGCCTCGGCCTCCCAAAGTGCTGGGATTAGAGGTGTGAGTCACCGCACCCAGCCAATATTTTAATTTTTATTGCTAAGCATATTGTGTTTCCTAAAGCACAAATTGTAGTGCCAATAATGATTAGTCCTATTTCTATTTTTCCTCCTTTTCATCTGCCTAAAAAATATAGGCATAATTTTAAGTGTAAGTTGTACTCAGTGCTTAAGTCAATTAAACATCTGAAAAGGCTGGGGTAGGTAGTCACAGAAAATAAAAGGGATGCACTTAGAGTAAATACCTTATTGTTGCTTATGTGTTAATTTTCTTGTGTCACACTCCTATATTCAAATTTATAAAAGGGACCTAATTTTGTTTGATTTTGTGAATTTACGAAGATAAAATTCACCTTGCAAATTTCCTGGCACATAATATATACTATATAAAAATTTGGTACTTGCTTGACTATATTAACAAAGTATAAAATATGTCTATTCTTTTTCTTAAAACTTCTTGCAATGTACAGTGTGCCTCTTTCTCTAAGAATTTCATTGTTAAAAAGAGAAAGCACTCTTTAAAAAATGCTCCTCATCACTGGGGATATTTTTTGAAGCCATTCATCTATTATAGGTGGTTATCTACTACAGGGATTTGTCAGTACCTTTCCCCAGGGTATTTTCTCAGCCAGTTTTATTCCAACTGGATGCACTCACTGAAGAAATTTATCTGAAGGTTGAGCATATCTATTTTATCTAAGGAAGGCAAAAGAAAATCTGGAACATCAAATTCAGAAAGATATTCCTGAATTAGTTAGACACGTACCCAAGGTGATTATGCCGATGGATGGTTGTATTCATGAAATGCAATGGCAAAGGGAGACCTCATGGAATGCATAGGTGCACGTAGGCATTAGCAATCATGGCTCCAATCAAAGCCTTACTGCTCTTGCTTAGAGGAAGGTTTGTATTAAATTTTAATATAGCACACCCAATCTTAGTAACAGCTGATTATTTATGATATTTTGAAGGCAGATCATTAGCAATGTTTTGAGAACTACTTTAATCAGAATTTAAGTTTTTACTTAAAGTTTACAATATTTAATGGGGCTCAATTTCTGTAATGGAAGACTTGAAGTAGATTTGTCTGGGAGACTTCTGGTATATGCCTGTTTTCTCTGTATAATTATTAGTAACACAAGCTTTCACTCTAAGATATTTAATGACCAATTACATAAGCCCCTACTGATGTTAAAAAGAAGTCAGTGAGAAATACTATAACATATTTCTACGTGACAGAAAACAAATATGAACTCAGAGTTTTTAGTAATATATTTTTGTGTAATGATATGGCTATTAATGGTTTATATATACTAAAGAGAAAAAAAGTATCCTTTTTGTGAGATCACTATGTAAACAAAGAAAGATCTTCAAAATCTCATTAGCATGATTACTTTTCATCATATTTTCTTAAATTACCAAGGTATTTCATCACCTGTTAAGATAAAGCAGTTCATGGTATCAGCCTGGCACAGAAAGGATTTATTGACTGTGTAGTCTGGAATGTTACATAGTGATGAACATAAACTCTGCTTCTTGCCACTCACACTTCACCTTGCAGTGTTGCAGCTGTGCTTAGCAACAGAATGCCAGATGGCACGGAGACATCAATTGATTACTACTCAGGAACAATGTCACTTACCAGAACGGAGGACAGATAAATTGACAAAGACAATGCTATGTTTGCAAGCCTGAATAAAGAAGCACTTTAAGTAGATTTATGGCTGCATTTTAAAACATATACTCTTTGGAAACTTTTGTCCAAGGATAAGGCAACAAACAATTATATGCACATTCATGTTTTGCTAGAATCTTTTTTTTTAATGCTTAGATTTCTGTGCCGGTCTACACATGTAGAAGATAATATATTAAAGCTTTTTGTTGTATGCTATTGCAAACACCAAATTATCTAAACTCTGTTTTTAAAATGCATTCTTAACTATCTTTTTGTGCTGATCAGTTAACATTACAAACTTGGGCTAGAGAGAAAGGCAGTAGAAAAACTGCCTAAAGAATTCTGGAATTCACAAGCTGTCAGCATGAGTTATCTGTTCACAAAGAATGTCTTTTATGAGTAAGCCTTGTTTTTGTAGAAGGCATTTATTATCACATTTGGCATCACTTTATGTAGCATATCTTGGACTGTTTGCACTCAAATCTTGGCTGTGCAATATATCTGATGTCCTGGAATGGATGTCAATGCTGAAAAACACACATGCCAGGTTACTCAACTTATCTGTGGTAAATAAGTCCTATAGATTTTCAAAAATAATATGCCATCTTGATTGTTGTAGCTTCTTCTCAAATTCATTTGAAGAGATGCTAGTATGACAGCAGAAATTCCATTTCAACAAATACAGTTCATTGCTGCTTTTGTGCAGTGCATGAATTGCCGATAACTATCGTTCTTGATAAAGAATGTGCATTTACTTAAGTTCAAATATAATATTGCTTTGGATAGAAAATTGATCTACTCATATGAAATGTTACCAAAGTGCCTCACTTGCTGCAAGAAGAGCTTTACTTGGAAGACCTAGGAAGACTATTGGAAAAGGCAGGTCCATGGATCATGGCTCCTTATGTGTTGAGTTATAATTTTAACTCTGCAAATGTAAATTTATTGTCTATAACTGAACTCATTATCTCTCAGAACACACTTTCTTGCTGATGGTGGTGGCAGAGGAGTGGATCTTACACCTGTTTCTTAAACATAATTTGATCTCTTCTGGTTTAAAATAGTTGTTTTCACTTAAATATTCTGTCAATATAAAGTTGAAACACACTACGAGAACTATTTTCTGCTTCAAAGGGTCTCTTTCTGCCATGACTTTCTGGAGTTCTGTGCCTTGCTTCAGTGTGAAGCATTTTAATCTTTATCAAAGGTATTATCCATACACAACATCTTGTCCTCACTGAACTTCACACTGGCCGTCAGTCCTGAACTGGTGGCTGCAGGTGTGCCCCCTGGTTCTAACTGGTTCTAGATTATCAGGCCGGCATTCACTGAGGATGACTGTAGCCCCCAACAGCCTCAGATCACAAGTTTACCTGATTCTGTTCTTCTCTGATTCTAACTTGGGGTGTCTTGCAGGTCACAGGTCCTCTTGGTATTGTCACATGTCCAAAGAGAAAATGAAGAAGTTCTGCAGCTCTTGCATGCCTCAAGCAAGCTGTGAGATCTTTGTGGCACCATTTTTGCCATTGCTTCTGCGTGTGCATGTCAGGCCTCTATTTCTAGTCTTCTTGGTTATCATGTACCTCAGGTATAAGGTCTTCTCTTTCAGCTCACCCCTTTCCCTACCATGGGATTATTTTATCTTTTCCCAATTCAAGACTTGGGGCCTGGGTCCTTATCAGAGATCTCAAGACCTTAAATATCTGGATATTTATATTCTTAGCACTTTTGAAACATTTATTTCCTTTCTAAGTCACAGTAAAGCTGCCATGATATCATTTATCTATTATGTCCTCTATGCACTTTGGCTTTGGCAAAGAGCCATGCTCAGATTTTTAAGTTCCGTCTAGATATTTGAAATGAAATTTCTAAAATGTAGGGGGAAAATTAACAATGCCTATTATCTTTCTGTAAACTAAAAAAGACATCTAACTTAAAAGTAAAAATTGAACAATAAATACTTTATTTTGGCTGTATTTGACCTTGCTCTAATACAAAGCATGCCATTATTTCAATAGGTATGGAAGCCAGGGTACAACCGAGGTTATTAGGAATAGAATTCTATTGCTTTAATCTACAAAATATAATCTCGATTTCATCCTACCTCAGTAAGACTTTTCCTACCTGGAAAAGACACTTCCTCTTACATAAGCGTGCCATTTAATCCTAGAAGTTGAAAGCTGAATATTATCAAACTTGATTGTTCTATCACTTGCCATCTCTCCAAATTTGGCTAGGTAAAATCTGGAAACTAACTTTTATTATCTTATGTGAACACTAGAGGGCACTATGCATTTCCCTAAAACAGTAGTTCTCAAATAATTGTGCCTCAGAATCACCTAATGCGCATATTAAAGCATATTGCTGACCTCCATCCTCAGAGTTTCTGATTCTTTAGGTCTGAGGTGGGCCCATGAATTTACATTTTCTTCATTAGTAGCTTTGCCACCAGCACAGGCAGAGCTTTCTTTGAGCAATTGTGCATCATTATCCTGTTGTGACTCACAATGGCATCTGGCTCAAGAGTGATGGAGGTGTCCTCATATCTTAAACAATAACAAAACTCAGTGTGATATTCTTCTCTGACTTCCCAAGGCCTCGCAAAAGTGACTTCGTGTCCATATTTCCAGCTGCAAATTTTCTTTCTGGCCTTCATATTGGCTCTGGTCTTTTCCTATAAATCCCACCCCTTTCAAATATTCTCTAGGCCACAACACTTTGAGCTTAAGATGTTGCTGTGGATATGTTCATTCTGTACCTGAAAAGAGGCTTAATATGGTGACAGTTCAGAGTCCAAGAAAGAAGATTTAGAAGATTTACAGACGATTTTATAGGTCTTTCTTTTTCTTCTTTTCTTACT
The DNA here is from genome assembly GCF_000001405.40 of Homo sapiens. Lineage (NCBI taxonomy): Eukaryota > Metazoa > Chordata > Mammalia > Primates > Hominidae > Homo > Homo sapiens. The sequence continues at coordinate 165,855,362 of NC_000003.12, forward strand.
TTCCCTGAAAAACCTGTTTCTTCCTTGGTGTGCATGTATACATGTTTGTTTTCCTAAAAGATCATGACCCTGAACTCAAATAACTAGGCTTCTGGTTTTTATTATAGGGATTGGTAATTATTCTGTCTGCCGTATGGATATAAATCCTCATGAATAACAGATTTGGGGCTGGACTCCATAGTGCAATCACTAAGGTCTTTCCTGTGTATATCACTGTAAGTTCCTGAATTCTCTTATGATGTTCAAAAGGCCTACAATTGTGCAAAAAGTAAATATTGGAGTGTCCACATTGGCAATTTTGAATAAAGCTCAGAAGAATCTTGCAGCATGTGTGAGAATCACTTCCATGGGATGACTCACAGGCAACCTGCAGGAAATTGTTGAAGACCTTGCCAAACAACAATAAAAAGCATAAGCTACATGACTTCTCAATCCAGCTTATGTAAGGCATGTGCTTATATGAGAACTGGTATGCTTCAAGCCTTGGCTTGCCTTCCATGGTGCTCAGTGAGAGTGGTAGGGCTCATGCTTGCCAGGCTTATGATGCTGTATTTGCTTCTTGACATATGGTCACTGTAAGTTTCAGCACTAACTATTGCAGGTTTCATTGTCTTCTTCTAAACTCTATTTCAGACCAGATGAGGTATATCTTCTAGGGGCTAAGCTTCCCATCTTTATCATTTCTCCAATTATTGATGTGACATAAACATATGTCCTGCTATTTAAAGTGACTTCCCTTTTGCTTTTGGAGAACATTTTTGACATGGTTTGGCTGTGTCCCCACCCAAATCTCATCTTGAATTCCTACATGTTGTGGAAGGGACCTAGTGGGAGGTAATTGAATCATGGAAGCAGGTCTTTCCCGTGCTGTTCTTGTAACAGTAAGTCTCACGAGATCCGGTGGTCATCTGATGGTCATTATAACAGTGAGTTTTCCTGCACAAGCCTTCTTCTTCTCTTGTCTGCCGCCATGTGAGACGTGCCTTTCACTTTCCACATGGTTGTGAAGCTTCCCCAGCCATGTGGAACTGTCAGTTCTCCATTAAACCTCTTTCCCTTGTATACTGCCCAGTCTCAGGTATGTCTTTATCAGCAGTGTGAAAACGAATTAATACAATTTTATTCTCTTACAAAAGCTAAATTACATAAATCAAAAGCTTTGACTTTAAAATAGACCCTCGAAAAGCCTATATTGTAAGGACTTTTTTTCTTTCTTTTTATATACCTGCTATGTTAAATTTCCTTGAGGCAGCATATATTGCCCAGATGCACTCTGGAACTTGCACGACTCAAGCACTGGGATCTTAGGTGTAGGAAGGCAGTAACTTTGATTTAGTGCTATCATTTCTGCTAAAGAATAGCTAAGGCAAAATAATTAACATAAAAATACTGGAAGCATTATTCAGTAAACAATGTTTTGTGTCTGAAACATGCTACAGTATCACATGCGGGTAATACCCCTTTATTGATTAGCATATACTAGCTCCAGGACACTGTTTTTTTCTGATATAGACATGGGGTTTTACGGACCCTTTTAGCCCCAGTGCTTAGTACGGTAATTTGATTATTAAAATTCTTAATATATTTTCACTGAATAGGATAAGAGAAAAAGAAACAGGAGATCTCAGTCATTTTAAGTTTTTATAGTCATAGAGAAAATGGCAATAATCTCAGGAATTGTAGACTGATCTAGGACAGAAGTTTTCAAAGTTTTGAGACTTTGGACTCCTTTATATATTTAAAAATTATTGAGGATTTTAAATATTTTTAAAATATAAACTATACCTATTAATATTTACAGTATTAGATCTTAAAATAGAAAAAAATTAAAAATATTTATGGATTAATGTATTTAGTTCAGTAATAAACATGTGTTAACATGAATATATTTTTATATAAAATAACTCTTTTTCAGATCAGCAAACAGTATAATCAAAAGAGTGTCATAGTTTCACATTTTTGAAAATTCTTTTAAATATCTATATTAATAAAGACAGCTGGACTCTCATATCCACTTCTGAGTTCAATCTGTTGTCATATCACATGTTGTGCAGCCTCTGGAAAACTTCACTATACGCTCTTCAGATAATAAATGTGAAAAGGCAAACAAGGTCTTAGTATTAGGAAAATAGTTTGACTTTATGAAAACCCTGAAAGGGTCTTAGGGAAATAGAGGCATCTCTGATCACATTTTGAAAACTGTTGGCCTCATTATTCATGGGTGGTTTTATTGTTTTCTTATAGCCACTAAATACAATCCTCAACAATTAAAAAAATACAAAAGTAAATAGATAAGCAAAAGAAACAAAGGAAATATGGGGAAAAACTATTAATTCTCTCTATATCTATTTAATTCATACCCTTATAAATATACCTGTATGTTTAAAAAATTTTCCTAAACCAGAGTATATTTAATGTGAAGTGCAAACTGAAGGAAGAAAAACAGATTTTCCATATTATTGTATCGATTTGTTTTGTATGGTATATTTACAAAGGTATGGTTAAAAAAATGTGTATTATATTTTTCTTAATGAGAAAAATATGACAACTTAGGACCACATAAGTAGAATCAAAATATCACAAAATTATTGAATTTTAGTTTTTAATGCTGTCATCATTTATTTCAATAAAAGTTCCAGATATACTGAAATTTTAATAAAATGGAGACAGCAAATTTATTATACATCAACCAAATTCAAATTTATACACACTCGAAGCAACTCTCAAATGTGCCTAGGTAAAAGTGTTTGTAATTCAGCTTTGAAATATAAAACTAAAAGATAGGTGGCACATAAATTGGCATATAATTCATAAGCTGTGGTTTGTAGTCTTAAAGTTCAATAATGACTGTCAATATAATAAATACGTAAATAGGTGAGAATTGTTATTTATAATATCAAAATATAAAGCATACAATGAAATTAAAACATTCAGAAATATTTGTGCATGTTCCAAATGGTCTCGCATCTTCTTCTACTGAGTTTTCGGAAAGTGTGTTTTTGTAAGCAGAGTGGTAAATGAGAGACATACACACAGAACAGAGCATAATATAAATAAGCTAGGACCTAAAATATGCTAGAACCTTTGTGTCTTTCTCCATACATAAATCAGAGAAACAACATTGATATCAGAATTGAGACTCAGACATTCAAATAGTAGAGATTTAATATCTCAGTATTAAAGAACTGAGAAATATACCATTATGATCTGTGTTTCTGCCAGTTATTTGTATTTGTATTATATGTGATTTATTTGACTTCCTTGGGAATTATCAGTCAAGATTCCACGTCACTAGCTCTCTATTTATATTATCTAAAGTCCTTTACAACTCCAGTTTGATTAGCCTTTTTCCTTTGAATAACAGCTTTTATTTTTTCCTGAATGGTTCATTTTACCTATTCTGTAGCCTGTATTTAGGGGAGAATTGATATAGCACCTCAATTCATATATCTTGATATCACCATTTATTGTTCACTTGAAATAATATTTTCTCCACGTAAGAAAATGCAGTTATTCTCAAATGATAGACTGGAGAGCTCTGTGGTTAAGGAGTAAAATTGTATTGAGATCTAGAAAATACCCTGGGCTTAAAGGTGTTTACAAAACACCTTTAAGCCCAGGGTATTTTCAGCTTCTTTAAAAAAATAAAGAATAAACTAAATTGATACATTCCATCAAAATCTTCTCTTAGAAATATTTTACCTTAAAGATTGAAACCACCAAAAGTAACAAATATATTTACTGGGGAATACATCATCCTTAAACCAAAGCAGTGCCACTAAACATTTCTTAAAAAACTCACCACATAAGCTTCTTTCATAACAGAAGGATCTGTTATTCTCTGAATGTACAAGTAGTATGTGATCATGAACATCTCATTATAAGCATCTGTGCAGTTTCCAGATTCATGCCAAGATTCCTACATATTGGATAATTTATCATAGTGCCATCTGCTTAAAATCATAGTTGCCAACATGGATGGATTATCAGAAAAAATAAATTATTTTGTGTCTTTTTGTAAATGCTTTTGATGATATATGCATGAAAATTCTGCATAGATCATTAGCTCTTCAAAGCAAAATAACGTTGTAAACATGGAAAAACCTTTGAAAATAAATTTAATTCCAATCAAAGCAATAACTCTTAATCAAAATGATAACCAAGTATCAGTTGTTCTGGTCAGTTCATGAAAAAATGCATAGAAATAAGCAAAGTGATATTTTGGGGAGAAAAATATTCCATCTCTAAACATTTGTGCTGGTCTCATACAGTTACAAACTTATTTTCATAGGAACATAGTGAATACATGTGGTTATTTAATTTGTATGTAAAATTTCCTATTGCAATTTATTTGTAATTACAATTTTTGTCCTTTAGAACTAAAGATCATATTATAAGTGATTAACACTGGAAATAAAACGCAGTGCATCCAAGCTTTGCTATATCACAGTTTGTTGAGAAAATGACCTAAAATTGTAGTTCACAGACAATCTGGGTGCAAGGAAATTTGAAGTCAGCTAGTCCAACTCCTTTATTTTAGAGATGGGAAATTATTATTCACAGTGATTAAATGTTCACTGTTACAAAACTAGTTGTATTACTCAGGGGGATAGAATACACACACACACACACACACACACACACGGAGACAGAGAGAGAAAAAATTATTCTAAGGAATTAACTCATGTACCTTTGGAAGTGAATGTCCAAAATATTCAGGATTGGGCACGAAGCTGGAGACTCAGGGAAGAGACACAGTCTAAATTCAATGATAGTCTGCTGGCAGAATTCCTTCTTGCTCTGGAGAGGTCAGTCTTTGTCCCATTCAGGCCCTCAAGTGAGATTGAATGAGGCCCACTCATATTATGAAGGTCATCTCCCTTACTTGGTGTCCAGTGATTTAAATGTTAATCTCATCCAATAAACCTTTTCACAGAAACATCCAGAACAGTGTTTGACCAAACCATGGCCCAGCCAAGTTGATACAAAAAAATTAGGTATTCACACTAGTGTTTACATTGCACTTTCAATGTTCTATTTCCATTGCTGAGGGAACTCTTTGGGTATTTATACATTTCCTTTCATGGTATTTCTTACACATCACTCTCCCTTCACAGAATTTAGTATATATGAAATTGCCATTACAAAGTGTATTCTAAAAATATAGTGAGTATTTGACTCCCCTATTAAATGGACTGAGATGTCTGTTCGGGTTCAATAACAAGGTTCATGTGTTATATAGATCCTAGGTAATAAGGATCTATAATTTCTAGAATTTTTCATGCTGGTTATAAAATTTAAATAGGATCATAACCCTAGAACTATTTAGAAAGGAGAAGGGACCTTAAAACTAAGTAAAAGTAATTAACTAAGAGGTTTGCGCCACAAACATTCAAAGGGACCTTCTTGAATAGACTTAACACGAAGTATTTCAATAAAGGTACACATCAGCCCTTTATAAAAATTCTTTTGCACTTCTGTGTCCTTATTTCTGCTATTTCTTTTCTGATTTTCAACTCATTCTCATTCTCCAAAACAAAACTGAACCATCACCTACTCCTCCAATTATTTTCTGGTGGCTCCTTCCCGTGTGCTCCTAGAGCGACTTGTTTGTATTTTCATATTTCAATCCAGACAACTTCCTGTAACAGAGTTTACTCATTTAAGTGAATCAATATTATTTTCTACAACAAAATTCCAACACATTTAGTTCCCTATAAAAAGCATTCATATATTCAAAGTTCTTTTCTTTCTTTCTTTCTTTCTTTCTTTCTTTCTTTCTTTCTCTCTCTCTCTCTCTCTTTCTTTCTTTCTTTCTTTCTTTCTTTCTTTCTTTCTTTCTTTCTTTCTTTCTTTCTTTCTTTCTTTCTTTTTGAAAGGAGTCTCGCTCTGTCTCCCAGGCTGGAGTGCAGTGGCACAATCTCAGCTCACTGCAAGCTCCACCTCCCGGGTCTTTTCTTTCTTTCTTTCTTTCTTTCTTTCTTTCTTTCTTTCTTTCTTTCTTTCTTTCTTTCTTTCTTTCTCTCTCTCTCTCTTTCTCTCTCTCTCTCTCTCTCTCTCTCTCTTTCTTTCTTTCTTTCTTTCTTTCTTTCTTTCTTTTTGAAAGGAGTCTCGCTCTGTCTCCCAGGCTGGAGTGCAGTGGCACAATCTCAGCTCACTGCAAGCTCCACCTCCCGGGTTCAGGCCACTCTCCCGCCTCAGCCTCCTGAGTAGCTGGGACTACAGGTGCCCGCCACCAGGCCCGGCTAATTTTTTTGTATTTTTAGTAGAGACGGGGTTTCACTGTGTTAGCCAGGATGGTCTCGATCTCCTGACCTCGTGATCCGCCCGCCTCGGCCTCCCAAAGTGCTGGGATTACAGGCGTGAGCCACTGCGCCCGGCCTCAAAGTTTCTTTTTTTGAGACGGAGTCTTGCTCTGCTGTCACCCAGGCTGGAGTGCAGTGGCGCCATCTCGGCTCACTGCAAGCTCCGCCTCCTGGGTTCACGCCATTCTCCTGCCTCAGCCTCCCGAGTAGCTGGGACTACAGGCATCTGCCACCAGGCCCAGCTAATTTTGAAGTCAAACATTTCTGGAACTATGGAAAGAAACCTTTTAATCATTTAGGATTGGTCTTTAGCAATTTCATTATCTGAAACAATTCAACTTCCTGATGATTTTCACGATGACAACTAGCATGTAGATATTTGCTAATATTTATTTTCTTTATTAAAAAAAGAGTATAGTCGTCTTTCAGTATCTTCAGGGGATTCATTCGAGGACTCCTTGCAGATACCAAAATCTGCTGATCTTCAGGATTCTTACAGTTGGTTCTCTATAGCCATGGGTTCTGCATATATTGACATGGAGGGACCATTGTAATGTCTTCTGTAATGTCTTCTGTAATGTTATAGTTTTATATCTAATATCAAAGCTTCTTTCTGGATTTTCTCCTTTACTAATTGCTGAAATAGTTGGCTTTTAATTGGATCATTAATTTTAATCATGGTTGAATCATATATAAGATTATATAATATTTTCATAGGTGTGAAATATTTGACAAAAGGTACTGTGCCTATTCACCCGTTTTTTGCCTTTTTAACTTTTTTTTTAATGTTGTGGGTATATAGTGGGTGTATATATTTATAGGGTACATGACATGTTTTGATATAGACATGCAAAGTCAAATAAGCACATAATGGAGAATGGGGTATCCATCCCCTCAAGCATTTATCCTTTGAGTTACAAACAATCCAATTACACTCTTTAAGTTATTTTAAAATATTCACCTCTTTAGCAATGGCACCTGTCATCTTCCATAATAGGTACTACTCAATAATTGTTATTTTAAAACAATAAATACATCAGATACACTATGTGACAGCTATTAAGGTAAACTGATTTTGGATTTCCATCAAGACAAACCATAATAAAACTACAAATTTCTTTTTATGCTATTCTTAATATTTTATTATGAAAAGGCTCAAACATATATAAAAGTTGAAATAATTATACACTGAACACCCTAATATCTACCACCTAGATTCTACAATTACCATTTTGCTATATTTATTATATCCCATATCTATCCATCCATCCACTTATCAATCTATCTTAGTTTTTTGATACATTTCAAAGTCAGTTGCAGACCTCAGTACACTTTATCCCTAAATACTTTGACATGCATATCATTGACCTGAGTTCAGTATTTATTTATAAACTTTTCTGAAGTAAACTCTACCACATATCACCTGTTTTTTTTGTAAAAAATACTATGCCTTTCCTATCAAGCTCTTTAATATTGAGAACTGCTTCTTACTTAACTCTATCCCCACCCACCAAATATCTAATGACACTGGTAATGAGTGATAAACACAATGAAAATAGTCGTGGCTAACATATGTCAAGCACTTCCTTTGTTCCAGGCACTGCTCCAACAACAAATTTATTTTTCTGTACCTTCTACACCATTTTGCTACTAGCACACTTTTGCACTTTACTAAATTCAGGAGCCCTATGCTGTCTTCGCTTCCATCAGAAAAAAAGTTAAGATTTAAAAAGCTGTTACTTGAGAGTGCTGAATAATATAAATGGATACATCACCAAAGGTTTTTTTTTTTTTTAAATCCATCTAACATGGAAACATCAACACAATCGGAAGAGATAATTATAAATCTATGTTGACTACACCTGACGTTTAGGTACACTTTATTTTGAAAGTCATAATTAAAATGAAATATTAATATCTTATGTGTGGGTAGAGCAGCACTTTATAGTAAACACATCCACATGCACACTCAAATTTTATGCTCTTTCTAAAAACCTGTGAGACACGTAGGACATTTCTTAGTTTCAACTGTATAAAGAAAATCTAATTGGTCCAGTTCAATTTTTAAGTGTGATTGCTAAGGTCAAAACATCTCTTAGTTTAGGAACTGGCAGTTGCTCAATCCTAGTATAATCAAATGTGGTTGGAATAGGAGGAAAACTGATCTCATCTGATAAAATTCAGGGCTCCTATTGGGTCTATTGATATGACAGTATCCTTTAAAGTCTTTTTTACTTTTTTTTTTTTTTTTTTGTCATTGAGAAGCCACTAGGTCTTAGTTCTCTGTTGCTTGGTAGCAAATTATCACAAACAAAAAAATAGAAGGCTTAAAACAACCAGGATTCATCACTTCACAGTTTCTATGGGTCAGTAGCCTGAGCTAGGCTGAGCTTTTTTGTGTGCCTAGCATCTCATAAGGTTGCAGCGTAGGTCTGCCAGGGCTGCAGTCTTATCTGGATGCTTGACTGAGAAAGGATCTATTTTCAAGCTCACTCAAATTTTTGGCAAGATTCATTTTTCTTCACAATTGTATGACTAAGTGCCCCAGCTTCAGGATGGGTAGTGGATAGAGATACCTTCCTTGTCATGTTGGATTTCCTAACATGTCTGTTTACTCCATCAAGCCACTAAGGAGTGTCCCTAGAGCCAGTCTGAAAGCAAGATGGAGTATTATATGATATATCCATAGGAGTGACATCCCTTCACTTTCCTTTGCCAAATTCTATGTATTAGAAGCAAGTTACACCTCCTGTCCACAATCAAAAGGAGATTATTACACAAAGGTGTGAACCTCAGGAAGACCCGAGCTTGTTGGGTGTATGTATTCATTAAAAACAGGTTTTATCAGCCCTAGATGAAAACAGCAGAAATAAAACTTTCTCTGAAGTTTTAACATCACTAGCAAATGATGACTCCGGTATTTAAAAATAAATCACTCTTGTTCCCAGAATTAAAACCTCTATATGATGAAAAGTTTATATCCGGCTCCTTTTCTTGGCTCTTTGACTTCTATTACACAGCTTAGCAGCATGAGTCAGTTCAGCCCTGGCTTCAAGTCCCTTCCCAGCTTCATCCCTGGCCTTCAATCAGTATTCACCACTGTAGCTAGTTGGCAGATGATGTGTTTCAGATGCCTGCACTCCACACCTGCTTCTGAAATTTCAAACACAGAGAGGCATAGCATGGGAAATAGGCCCACAAGACACTGTCTGGGAAGAGAGACCCCAAGGCAAGCAGAAAGTAACTCAACAGAAAGCAGAGGAAAATCAACTGAGGAACAGAGAAAATAAGACGATAAAATGAAGGAAATGGCAGGAGTAGAGGGAGACTCCTCTCTTTATGTTCTACATGTTTTATCTGGAATATTTTTAAAAATGCAGACTTGGCTATAAGTACAAAATTGTAGGTGGCAAATCGATACCCTGAGGGCTGCATATTTTAAAGATGTAAATGTATGTGAAGCACACTGCAGGCTGCTCCTCCTCCATTGGGAAGGATGGCGGAGGTGATTCTGGATGAATGGTGAGCAAGGATGCAATATAGAGACTTAGATGGAAGGGCAAGCAGTTCAATGGTAGTCCAAAGCAATCATCAACGTGAAGGGACCAGAAACTGAGGTTCGGTCCTGAGGCATATAGTTAAAGATCAAAGAGAAGCTAAGTAGTAAGGTCTAGGGAGTATTATTCTGGGAAAATCCCTAAGAAGGAGGTTGTTCTTGAAGATAATGCTTGCCACGTGGTGAGCTGGCTGCACGTGTCAGGAGTGTAACAGACTGTGGTAGACAGAAGATGTGTCCTACAGCATCAAGAAATCCTGAAAGTCCTCTGCTTTAGTCATCCAATGTGAGGCTACTCGTTCATTCATCAAATATAGCAGTCAATAAAAGAGATGGAAACATTTTCTTTTGTGAAGTCTGGTATTTTAGTCAAGGGAATCAGACTCTCATATAATAAATATGTACATTAAATAATGACAGTTGATATGTCCCATGGAAAACAACTAATAGGGCAAGGGGTTTCAGAAGTATCGAGTTAACTATAAAATAGACTTCACTGAGAGAGTGACATTTAAACAAATTATTGAAGAAAGTGAAGGCATAAGCTGTACGGATATGTCCTGAGATGGAGTCACATCTGCTGTGTCTGAGGAATAAAAAGGAGGTAAGTTTTCTGAGGAGACTGAACAAGGTGTATATAGTTATAGATGAGAACAGACAAGTAAGGAAAGACCTTATCATGTAGGACTTTCTAGGACATTAACAAAACTTTGGCTTTTACCCTGAGTGAAATAAGAAGCTGTTGGAGTGTTTAGACAGGTAACAGGAGGCCTGGAAATTTTGTTGGTAAGATGCTGCACCTACAAGCAGGCTTCAGTGTCCTCCCCTATGACTGATTTCTGTTCCTACTCTTTCTGACCTCCAAGCTATAATAATCCTATCAAACATACAGAAATTTCCTGACCTTGCATTTGCCCCTAATTCCAGCAGGTGATACTGCTGGAATATGATCTGGGAAGTAAATTTCAGGGATTGACAAATACCTTTGCCTTGTAACTAAGCAGTACCTGAGGAATGTGCTTTAAAATTTTATTTTTTATATTGATGTTTTTGTAGTATATGAACATAAAACAAAATCTAAGTCAGCAAAGGACAATTTTGACATATTTGCAGGTCACTAAAATCTGATGATCGTGATCTGTATAATGTTAAGTCAGGGACAGAGGGCAGTGATGCCTAAAATCATATTCTAATTTCACATATTTTCAGTATACGACTTTTAATTATTTTTAAATGGGAAATGACCCACCTCCATCCTTTGGATTTTAATGTTCCCTAAACACTTCTCCCTTTCTCCACTTCTTACTTTTATCCACACAGACGTAAGCAATTACCTGGTTGTTGGACAAAATCTGTTGGTATGCATTTTTCTATTTGACAGAGCTAATCTACCAAACAATATAAACACTGGGGATTTTATTTCTTCTTCCATCTCCATCTCAAACCAGTGTAAAACAGAAAACAAAACAGGAGCACTTGCTCTTCAGACTTAAACTCTTCCCCAGGTGAGTTCTGCCAGGCCTGGATGGAAGCTCAGCCGATACTAAGCCCACATGATCTCACTTAACTCTATCAATCAAGATAGGCTTATAAAACTGACATTTTGTACTTTTTTGCCTTTTTTCTCAATCTGTTAGAAACATTCGGGTGATGTAAAATGTTTATTAGGCCTCTTTAAACTCTAGACGCTCTTTGTAGAGATTAAAGCATACGTTGGTCCCGAGATAATACAAGAAATCTGAAACCCTGGTAATTAAAAGATGGCTATATCATTGTGAAACCATGATTTTTCACTGTTTTCAGCTTTGTGCTGAAATTTCTCGTCAATCTCAATCTTGCAATAGTAATATACTGCTACTAGGTGAAAATGATGCTACATATTCCAGACTTCAAGCTTCATTCCTTTTGATTTACCTAGAAGAAGTGAGCACATATTTATGTCTCTGTTAATAAAAAATAAATGGCAAGTGCAAAAGTCTATCTTAAAATGCAAATAAACCATACCAACACAACCCATGCTTTTTTTTCAATTGAAGAAGATTTATTTATGGGGCATTTATGCATAATCTTAATTGTATAGTTTAATAAGTTTTGACCAATGTATATACCATAAAACCAACAGGCAATCAAGCTGTTGCATGACCTCAGGGTGCCTCTAGTGTCCTTTAAAGAATATGATTTTTGAGGGCATAGAATAAAAATGTTAGTAGTGGAAAACCCAATTTAGAAGGATATCAGGATTTCCAGGGTTGGGTATAGTTCAAAAAGCATCTCTTCACACAAATCACATGGGAAACTGAGGGTGTATGTCTTACTTCTGCCTTAAGAGTGTTAACTTCTGAGAATGTGTTGTGAGAATAAATGCTCTAAGAGTGAAAAAAATGGGTGGAACACCTAGAACATTTAATCAAATAAACCCCTAGAAGCAACACAACACCTACTTTCAATAACCCTGGATGAAACATCAATCTTAAACATTGATTTGCCCATTGTTGATTTGAAGGCTAAAGATTTCCCCTGAGACCTATGTTTAAGTTAGGTGTTTCAGATAGCTTTTTCCTTATTGTTAGACAAAATTGCTGGACATAGACAGTTTAGCTAAGTAATCAGAGTACCTCTTTAAATTTTCAATGGCCTCATGTGTGGCATAACAGGAGAGTAAGAGCTATCTATGTGGGTCCTCTTTGTAGAAGAGCTTCTACCAGCCTTGGAGTGTTTACTTTTATCATAAGAAAGGAAATATAAATTTATTTACAAAGATAAGTTGCTCACTCATCTTAGATATTTCAGATGGATTTTTCCAGACAGTCATAATTTAATTTTTTTTCCTCTCCTAAAATGGCTTAGCAATCTGCAACATTTATAAAAATGTGATTCAGGATTTTTCTCAGCCCCTTCACTGAACTCCCTGGAGGGGCACCCCCCTACCTGGCCTGTGGGCTCAACCCCTCATAGGAGGAAGCACATGAGTTGAGCAGGTGTGGGATCCAGGCACCAATATAGGAACAAGCTCTGCACGGGTACCCCAGCCAGACCAGGCATGTAGCCTCTGGGGGGATGCAGTGGCACCCAAGGGAGGGTGCCCACGACACCGAAGCCCCAGAGGTGGTGTTGCAGTGCTCCCTTAGTTCTGCCATCCATGGACAGCAATGTGTTAGCAGCTCAGTTGACCCCTTGCCCCATCATGTGAAGTGGCTACCCTCCATAGGCAAAGGAAAAAGGCCGGTGTGACAGCCTTTCTGTGTACCCAGATTTAACGGGTCACAAGCTCTTGTCCAGTGTCCAAGAAGATGGTCACATGGGTGGCTGAAGGATGGTGAAGGCAGAGAATTTTCTGAGAAATGAAAATGGCTCTCAGTGGAGAGGGGAGCTGGAGAGGGGATAGGAAGGGCAGATTGTCTTCACCGAAGTCAGGTTGTCTTTTTTCCAAAGTCAGGTCATCTTCTCTCTACTGGTAGAATCTGGGCTCTTATAGGCCCAGGATGGGGAGTACATGCTGGTTGGTTTGTGAATATGCAAAAAGGCTAAAGTGAAAACGCCACTCAAAGGTGAGTGTGACAGTGTAGAAAACCAATTAGGAAAAGACAGGTATATGTAAAATAGATGAAGGGTGGAAATCAATCAGAGGAAAGCACGCCAAACAGGAGGACAAATTCTCAATCAGGTCTGAGGATTTAACTTTTAGCTTGGCTTTCAGGCTTTAAACTGTCTTTGTCTCGGACTGGGGTTTCACCAGGTACTCCTCTCTCTGCCTAGGCATTTACCTGCCTTCTGTCACTATCCAGTGCAAATTGGTTTAGTAAAATAGCTTTAAAGATTTCATGTCTTAGGGAAACAAAATAATCTACCCCAAACAAAACTCAAATAAAGCAAGTGTAATTGTAAATACTATGAAAATTTAAATAAATTTTAAATAGTATATTATCAAATAAATAGTAAAACATTAAGAGAAATTTCTTATCTTTGTTTAAAAAAATTGTTTTTCCCTAAGTTATTGGGGTATGGGTGGTATTTGGTTACATGAGTAAGTTCTTTAGTGGAGATTTGTGAGAACCTGGCACACCCATCACCAAGGAGTATACACTGCACCATATTTGTTGTTTTATCCCTTGCCCCCTCCCACTCTTCCCCACAAGTCCCCAAAGTCCATTGCATCATTCTTATGCCTTTGCATCCTCAGAACTTAGCTCCCACATTTCAGTGAGAATATACAATGTTTAGTTTTCCATTCCTGAATTACTTCACTTAGAATAATAGTCTGCAATCTCATCCAGATCATTGCAAATGTTAATTCATTCCTTTTATGGCTGAGTAGTATTCCATCATATATACATAACAGAGTTTCTTTATCCACTCGTTGATTGATGGACATTTGGGTTGGTTCCACGATTTTGCTATTGTGAACTGTGCTGCTATAAACATGCGTGTGCAAGTATCTTTTCTGAATAATGACTTCTTTTTCTGGGGTAGATACTCAGTAGTGGGATTGCTAGATCAAATGGTAGCTCTACTTTTAGTTCTTTAAGGAATCTCCACACTGTTTTTCAAAGTGGCTGTACTAGTTTACATTTCCACTAGCAGTGTAGAACCATCCACACCAACATCTACTGTTTTTTGATTTTTTGATTATGCCATTCTTACAGGCATAAAGTGGTATTGCATTGTGGTTTTGATTTGCATTTCCCTGATCATTAGTCATGTTGAGCATTTTTTTCATATGTTTGCTGGCCATTTGTATATCTTCTTTTGAGAATTGTCTATTCATGTCCTTAGCTCACTTTTCAAAAGGATTGATTTTTTTTTCTTACTGATTTGTTTGAGTTTGTTGTAGGTTCTGGATATTAGTCCTCTGTCAGATTTATAGATTGTGAAGATTTTCTTCCACTCTGTGGGTTGTCTGTTTACTCTGCTGACTCTTCCTTTTGCCTTGCAAAAGCTCTTTAGTTTAATTAAGTCCCAGCTATTTATCTCGTTTTTATTGCAATTGCTTTTGGGTTTTTGGTCATGAAATCCTTGCCTAAGCCATTGTCTAGAAGGGTTTTTCTAATGTTATCTTCTAGAATTTTTATAGTTTCAGGTCTTGGGTTTAAGTCCTTAATCCATCTTGAGTTGATTTTTTGTACAAGGTGAGAGATGAGGATCCGGTTTCATTCTCCTACATGTGGCTAGCAAATTATCCCAGCAACATTTGTTGAAAAGGGTGTCCTTTCTCCATGTTTTTGTTTCCTCCATCAAAGATCAGTTGGCTGTAAGTATTTGGGTTTTTTCTGGGTTCTCCATTATGTTCCATTGATCTATGTGCCTATTTTTATACCAGTACCATGCTGTTTTGGTGACCATCGCCTTATAGTATAGTTTGAAATCAGGTAATGTGATGCCTCCAGATTTGTTCTTTTTGCATGGTCTTGCTTTGGCTATGTGGGCTCTTTTTTGGTTCTATATGTATTTTGGAATTGTTTTTTCTAACTTTGTGAGGAATGATGGTGGTATTTTGATGGGGATTCCATTTAATTTGTAGATTGCTTTTGGCAGTATGGTCATTTTCACAATATTGATTCTACCCATCCATGAGAATGGGATGTGTTTCCATTTGTTTGTGTCATCTATGATTTATTTTAGCAGTGTTTTGTAGTTTTCCTTGTAGAGGTCTTTTGACTCCTTTGTTTTGTATATTCCTAAGTATTTTTTTTTTTTTTGCAGCTATTATAAAAGGGGTTGAGTTCTTGATTTGATTCACCACTTGGTCACTGTTGGTGTATAGAAGAGCTACTGATTTGTGTACATTAATCTCATATCTGGAAACTTTGCTGAATTCTTTGATCCATTCTAGGAGTTTTCTGGAGGAGTCCTTAGGGTTTTCAATGTAAATGAACATATCATCGGCAAACAGGGACAGTTTGACTTCCTCTATACTGATTTGGATGCCGTTTGTCTCTTTCTCTTGTCTGATTGCTCTGACTAAGGCTTGCAGTACTACGTTGAAGAGGAGTGGTGACAGAGGGCATCCTTGCCTTGTTCCCGTTCTCAGGGGGAATGCTTTTAACTTTTCCCCATTCAGTACTTTTTTGGCTGTGGGTTTGTAATAGATGGCTTTTATTACATTAAGGTATAACCCTTGTATGCCGATTTTGCTGAGGGTTTTGATCACAAAGGGATGCTGGATTTTGTTGAATGATTTTTCTGCATCTATTGAGATGATTGTGTGATTTTTGTTTTTAATTCTGTTGATGTGTTGAATCACATTTATTTATTTGTGTATGTTAAAGCATCCCTGCATCCCTGGTATGAAACCCACTTGATCATGGTGGATTATCTTTTTGATATGTTATTGGATTCAGTTAGCTATTATTTTGTTAATGATTTTAGCATCTATATTCATCAAGGATATCAGTCTATATTTTTCTTTTTTGGTTGTGTCTTTTCCCGGTTTTGGTATTTAGGTGATGGTGGCTTCACAGAATGAATTAGGGAGGGTTCCTTCTTTCTCTCTTTTGGGTAATATTGTCAAAAAAAATTGGTACCAATTCTTTGAATTTCTGGTAGAATTCTGCTGTGAATCCGTCTGGTACTGGACTTTTCTGTGGTGGTAATTTTTTAATTACCATTTCAATCTCGCTGGTTGCTATTCGGCTGTTCAGGGTATCTAATTCTTTTTGATTTAAGCTAGGAGGATTGTATTTTTCCAGGAATTTATCCATCTCTTCTAGGTTTTCTAGTTTATGTGTGTAAAGGTGTTCATAGTAGCCTTGAATGATCTTTTGTATTTCAGTGGTGTCAGTTGTAATATCCCCTGTTTCATATCTCAGTGAGGTTATTTGGATTTTCTCTATTTTTTCTTGGTTAATCTTGCTAATGGTCTATTAATCTTATTTATCTTTTCAAAGAACCAGCTTTTTGTTTCATTTATCTTTTGTACTTTTTTGTTTGCTTGTTTGTTTGTTTGTTTCAATTTTGTTTCTCTCTGCTCTGATGTTGGTTATTTCCTTTCTTCTGCTGGGTTTGGGTTTGGTTTCTTCTTGTTTCTCTAGTTCCTTGAGGTGTGACCTTAGATTGTCTGCTTTTGCTCTTTCAGACTTTTTGATGTAGGCATTTAAAGCTATGAACTTTCCTTTTAGCACTACCTTAGCTGTATCCCAGAGGTGTTGATAGGTTGTGTCATTATTGTCATTCAGCTCAAATAATTTTTTAATTTCCATCTTGATTTTGTTTTTGACCCAATGCTTATGCAAGAGCAGGTTACTTAATTTCCATGTATTTTCATGGTTTTGAGGGTTGCTTTTCGATTTGATTTCCAGTTTTATTCCACTGTGGTGTGAGAGAATGCTTGATATAATTTCAAATTTATTAAATTTATTGAGGCTTATTGTATGGCCTGTCATATGGACTATCTTGGAGAAAGTTCCATGGGCTGTTGAATAGAATGAGCATTCTGCAGGTGTTGGATGAAGTGTTCTGTACATACCTGTTAAGTCCATTTCTTCCAAGGTATAGTTTAAATCCATTGTTTTTTGTTGTTGTTCTTGACTTTCTGTCTTGATGACCTCTCTAGTGCTGTCAGTGGAGTACTGAAGTCCCCCTCTATTTTTGTGTTGCTGTCTATCTTATTCCTTAGGTCTGTTAGTAATTGTTTTATAAATTTGGGACCTCCAGTGTTAGGTGCATATATGTTTAGGATTGTGATATTTTGCTGTTGGACAAGGCCTTTTACCATTATGTAATGTCCCTTTTTGTCTCTTTTAACCACTGTTGTTTTAAAGTTTGTTTTGTCTGATACAAGAATAGCTACCCCTTCTTCACTTTCAGTATCCAACTGCATGAAATGCCTTTTTCTACCCCCTTACTTTAAGTTTATGTGAGTCCTTATGTGTTAGGTGAGCCTCCTGAAAGCAGCAGCTAGTTGGTTGGTGAGTTCTTAACCATTCTACAGTTCTGTATTTTTTAAGTGGAGCATTTAGGCTATTTATAGTCAATGTTAGTATTGAAATTTGGGGTACTGTTGCATTCATCATGCTTTTTGTTGCCTTCATTGTTTTTTATTTTTATTTTTTGGTTTTTTGCTTTTGCCTTTTAACTTGTATCTTTGTTTTATAGATCCTGTGTGCTTTATGCTTTAAAGAGATTCTGTTTTGATGTGTTTCCAGGATTTGTTTGAAGATTTAGAGCTCCTTTTAGCAGTTCTCATAGTGGTGGCTTGGAAATGGAGAATTCTCTCAGTTTTCATTTGTCTGAAAAATGACTGTATCTTTCCTTCATATATGATACTTAGTTTTGCTGGATACAAAATTATTGGCTGAAGATTGTTTTGTTTGAGGTGGTTGAAGATAGGGCCCCAATCCCTTCTAACTTGGAGGGTTTCTGCTGAGAAATCTGCTGTTAATTTGATAGGTTTTCCTTTATAGGTTACCTGGTGCTTCTGTCTTACAGCTCTTAAGATTCTTTCCTTCTTCCTAACTTTGGATAACCGGATGACAACGTGCCTAGGTGAAGATCTTTTTGTGATGAATTTCCCAGGTGTTCTTTGTGCTTCTTGTGTTTGGCTATCTAGGTCTCTCACAAGACCTGGGAAGTTTTCCTTGATTATTCCCCCAAATATGTTTTCCAAGCTTTTAGAATTCTCTTCTTCCTCAGTAACACCGAATATTCTTAGGCATGGTCATTTAACATAATCCCAAACTTCTTGGAGGCTTTGTTCACATTTTCTTATTCTTTTTTCTTTGTCTTTGTTGGATTGAGTTAGTTCAAAAACCTTGTTTTCGAGCTCTGAATTTCTTTCTTCTACTTGTTTAATTCTATTGCTGAGACTTTCCAAAGCTTTGCATTTCTAAAATTGTGTCCAAAAGTTCCTGAATTGTTGATTGTTTTTTCTTTAAGCTATCTATTTCATTGACTATTTCTCCCTTCACTTCTTGTATCATTTTTTGGATTTACTTGCACTGGGCTTCGCCTTTCTCTGGTCCCTCCCTGATTAGCTTAATAACTAACCTCCTGAATTCTTTTTCAGGTATGTCAGGGATTTCTTCTTGGTTTAGATCCATTGCTGGTGAACTAGAGTGATTTCTGGGGGGTGTTGATGATCCTTATTTTATCATATTACCAAGGTTGGTTTTCTGGTTCCTTCCCATTCGGATAGGCTCTGTCAGAGGGAAGGTCTAGGGCTGAAGACTGTTGTTCAGATTTTTTTGTCTCATGGGGTGTCCCCTTGATGTTGTACTCTCCTCCTTTTCCTATGGATGCGGCTTCCTGTGAGTCTAACTGCAGTGATTGTTGTCTCTCTTCTGGGTCTAGCCACCCCGCAAGCCTACCCAGCTCCTGGCTGGTGCTGGGGATTTCTGCACAGAGTCTTGTGATGTGAACTGTCTATGGGTTTCTCAGCTGTGGATACCAGCACCTGTTCTGGTGGGGGTGGCAGAGGGTGCTGGCTCCGTGAGGGTTCTTAGCTTTGGTGGTTTAATGCTCTATTTTTGTGCTGGTTGACCTCCTGCCAAGAGGTGGCGCTTTCCAGAAAGCATGAGCTGTAGTAATGCGGAGAGGGACCAGTAGGGCGCAGGGCCCTAGAACTCCTAAGGTTATATGTCCTTTGTCTTCCAGTACCAGGGTGGGTAGGGAAGGACCATCAGGTTGGGGCAGGGCTAGGTGTGTCTGAGTTCAGACTCTCCTTGGGCGGGTCTTGCTGTGGCTGCTGTGAGATTCCCAGGTCACCAGAGCTGTGTACCTAGGAGGATTACCGCTGCTCCTGCTGAGTCATGCAGGTTGTCCGGGAAGAGGGGAAAAGCCGGCAATCACAGGCCTCACCCAGCTCCCACGCAAACCGAAGAGCTGGTCTCACTCCCACAGTGCCACCCACAGCCTGTTTCCAGGCGGAGAGCGGGCTTAAAAACTTGTCCGAGGCTTTCCACCTCCCAGCTGCAAAAGAAAAGGGCTTCAGTTCTTCCCTCACCTGTGAAGTCTGCAAGCCAGATTCACACCCTCTCCTGCGTTCTGGCCAGGAGGCTTCTCTCCCTGCTCAAATTGTTACAAAGTTCAGGTGGGGAAGTCCTTCTCCCGGTGGGGTTTTACCCCCTGCTCCTCTGGCCACCCTCCTGATGGATCCCTGTGGTGCCAGGCAGGCAGGAATGGGCTATGGGGATTCAGTGAGCTCCCAGGGCCTCCCAGCTACCTCCTCCACCCCTGTATTTCAATCACCTCGGCTCTCTAATTTGACTCAGCTCCAGGTAAGTCGAGAACGTCTCCAGCAAACAGACCTTCAGCTTCTCCGGTGGGGGTGTGTGTTTGGGAAAGGAGGGTCTCTTTCCCACTTCTGCAGTTGGGGCACTCACAGTATTTGGGATGTCTCCCTGGTCTTGCAGGAGCAGTCTGCTTCCTTCAGAGGGTCTGTGGGTCCTCTCTGGGTTGCTGGTTTGTTTTTGCAGTCAATCTGGTGCTAAAATTCACAATGCAAGCCTCTGCATACTGCGCTGTCTGGAGCTGCAGTCTAGTCCTGCCTGCTGTCCGCCGTGATCTGCTGTATCTCTCATACCTTAAATATTTTTAATATGGAGTTTTAGCATGTTGATCCTATGATGATGGTGATGATGATGACGAGATAACTTAATCAGTCTCTCCTAGTACCAGTCTCTGGGCCAAATGCTTTGCATGCATAACCTCAATGCATCCTCACTGCGACTCTGTGAAATAGAAAGCATATTATAACTGGCTTGCAGTTGAATTAACTGAGACTTAGCAACACTAAATAAGTAATGCCTGAGTTGGCTTATCTGAAAAATTGGCGGACTCAGGGTCCAAAACCAAACAGTATTAATCCAAAGACCTATGCAGCTTCAATGACAATATTTCTCCAAATATGGGCCATGAAACATTTACATCATTGTCAGTAGAAAATGCAGATTTTGTTCTCACACCATGCCTTCTATGTGTATGTCCAATGTTAATTCAATAATTACATTTTGACCATACTCAATTCTTAATACACAATTCCAACATCTACATTTTCCTAAGAGCTTAGTGTATAACTTCAAAGGCCAAGAATGAATAAAAAGGATTATTTCATCCATATGACCAGCTTTTGGAATGGGAAAAAATAATTTCTGTAGACTTTTCTTGTCTATGAAAATTGCCTAAATATTATGGCATCAAAAGAGAATGACTTATTTTTACTAAATATGAAATTCTGTTTAATGTATAATAATGCAATGATTCTCAGTCATTTGACTATCCCTCTACATGAAACAACTAAGGAATAAAATGCATTCCTGTCAGTAAAAGTGGCTGACTGAAGCCGTGATCTAAAAATGGGAAGAAAAGGAGACGTGTAGTTAATTAAAAGACTCTTAACCTCTGATTTATTTGAGAATCCCTAATGACATTTTTGTCAACCATTACTATTGTTAATTTCAACAATGTGCTGTTTTGAAAGTTGGTGAAAAAAATCATAGAAATATTATTAGCAATATTCACAAGATATTTATTTGTGGATCAAACATTGTACATGTAGTAATGGAAGTATAGAATGTTTGGGAATTAGCCAAGAGGAAGGTCCATTTTATCTTGTTTCACCAAAGAAGGATAAAAAATTGCTTGCAATTCAACAAGAGGAAAAGTATATTCGTGCAACACAAAATTGTGGGTAATACATTTTATTGTGTAGTAAATATGTATAAGAAAAAGAGGTTTATTATATACTGTGCATGCTGACATAGCATATTGTTTATGACATGAATACATAATTTATAGAAAATGATTAAATTATTTCAGAGATTATTTTACATTCTATCACTTATAAGCTATAAATATTTTGTTGCTAAAAATTCAATGATCAGTTTTAGTTTAGACTGACAGATGTCCCCACATTAAGATGTCAGATACTTGAGTTATTCATTCTGAATAAAACCACAATGCCAAATGCTGCCACAGAATGTACAGAAAATTGTCATATCAATTAAGATGAAGTCAGTAACGATCCATATGTTAAAAAGTCATAATTGTGAAGGCTGAGTCATTACTTAGGAATTTGAGTTTTATATGTTTAAGAATACATCATTGACATATTAACTATTTCTCTTTCTTTGCATCTATATAATTCAGCAGTACTTAAAATGACATTTTGTCAGCAAATTTCAAAAATTTTTGGAATTAAAAAACTCCAAAACTTACTGCAAATTGATACCCTGTACACATCCCTACATTATCTCGGCTGTATGTCTTCACATGCCTGCAAAGATGGTCACAATGGAGTGTTTGAAACCATCATTTTCTTTGTAACTTTTGTACAGCACATAGCCTCTTGAAATCTTGTCTGTATTGCAGCTCTCTGTGTGCACCTTTTATCATCTCTACTGAACTCTAAGCTCTTTGAAGGTAGAGTCCAAGTGTTCATCTTTGTTTCTGTGCTTATAGATTAGAGATTTAACCGTGGTAGGTTTTGAGTTAAAAAAAAAAATGTACTTTCCCAATTTTGTTCTTCCCATAAATGACCTGAGCAGAGAGGTTATGAAAACAGGTATTGCATTTCTATGATATAATTCAGGGGAGAGTCAGGACCTGTGGTTTCTGCAAGCTGTTATCACAAACATAGGCCATTTATAGTTGTCATAAACATTTGTTGCAACAAGAGAAATATTTAAAAGCATTTTCTTATGTGGACATGACTGCATTATGAGTTTTCAAGTCTCTTTTCTCCAATATATTGTGAGAATTAAAAATACGTATTTATCATCTACTACATGAGGCAGTGGGTTGTGTGGAATGGGGAGGAAGAGGAAGCTGAAGTACTAAATCTGTTGATATCTCTCTTGATCATGTTTCCATGTGTCTGGAATCAGTGGCCAGAGTCAAGAAATCTCAAGAAGTTTCATATCTCTAAATCCCGTTCAGAGACAAGGGATATGGAAGTACAAAGATGGACTCAGTAAATTGCCTAACTTATGTGAATCTCCTCAAATATCATTAATTTCAATGTATTCCTTTTTATCAAACCCAAAGTACACTCAATTTTTTACATTGGTTACCTTAAATTGTACTTCCTTTCTATGGAAATAACTGTTAATACACAATCAGTATCTTCTTATATTGATTAAAAATTGCTAATCATATTATAAGATCTTACATTTCTATTAATATTTGAATTATTAAACCTGAACAGCTACACACTTCAATTAATAAAATTTTCTTTCATTGACAAAAAGCTGTCAGACTATATAATAAAACTACCTCATTTTAAATACCAAAATACTGAATAATTTTACATTCAACTCATTTATTAAGAATAATACAGAATATGTTGCATGACAAGCATTCACAAATGTGAATATAAGATATTGACATAACCTAAATTAGAATATACAAATATATTTTATCACAATATTTTATCTATATGGATGAAAAATGTCATTTCATACAATTTAGAGGTATGTTCAATGTGTCTTGAAACAACAAAAAACTCTATTCAAAAATAAGTGTTTTCAGAGAAAAAAAAAAGAGTAGGTTTTTATTTTTTTATTTTTATTTTTATTTTTTATAATATGCAGTCATAAGAAAGAATGAGTTCACCCCGTCTCTACTAAAAATACAAAAAATTAGCCGGGCGTGGTGGCGAGCGCCTGTAGTCCCAGCTACTTGGGAGGCTGAGGCAGGAGAATGGCGTGAACCCAGGAGGCGGAGCTTGCAGTGAGCTGAGATCGCGCCACTGCACTCCAGCCTGGGCAACAGAGCGAAACTCTGTCTCAAAAAAAAAAAAAAAAAAAAAAAAAGAAAGAAAGAAAGAATGAGTTCATGTGTCCTTTACAGGGATATGATTGAAGCTGGAAACCACCATTCTAAGCAGACTAACATAGGAGGAGAAAACCAGACACCACATGTTCTCATTCATAAGTGGGAATTGAACAACAAGAACACATGGACACAGAGAGGGGAACATCACATACCCAGGCCTGTCGGGGGGTGGGGGTCAAGGAGAGGGAGAGCATGAGGACAAATACCTAATGCATATGAGGCTTAAAACCTAGATAACAGGTTGATAGGTACAGCAAACCACCATGGCACTTGTATACCTATGTAACAAACCTGCCCGTTTTGCACATGTATCCCAGAACTTAAAGTGGAAAAAAAAAAAAAAGTGAGACAGTTTTCTTGTGCTGGTCGTAGGGCAACAGCTCACTTCATTTATACTGACAGTTTTCTGTATTTGTTATATACATTGTGTCAAGAAAAGAGAGACATATGGAATTTCTAAATACAATCATCACTGTTAAGGTTTCCTATAATTTAACTTTTTAAAGTTTCCTTATTAAATTTTGTTTCTGTTGTTGCTCCTGTGCCCTATTCAACTCATTTAACACTTTAATACTTTGTGCCTTTTCCTGATACAAATTTCCCTCATGGTCCCCCTTTCCCTTCAATATTGTTAGCAACTCAAAGTCAGAATTGAGAGTCCATCTTACTCCCCGTTGTATTTCCCACATAACTTATTGTGGGTTCATAGGAGACCTCATAATTGTTAACACCAGGGGAAAGAATTCTTAATAGTTGACAAATACGTGGACAAGGGTGAGAGGTAAAAAGAATAATGTTCTCAAAAATTGCATGTTAAGCTTTTTCATGTGCTCCTGGATTCAGTTTGCCAGTATTTTATTGAGGATTTTTGCATTAATGTTCATCAAGGATATTGTTCTAAAATTCTCTTTTTTGGTTGTGTCTCTGCCCGGCTTTGGTATCAGGATGATGCTGGCCTCATAAAATGAGTTAGGGAGGATTCCCTCTTTTCCTATTGATTGGAATAGTTTCAGAAGGAATGGTACCAGTTCCTCCTTGTACCTCTGGTAGAATTCGGCTGTGAATCCATCTGGTCCTGGACTCTTTTTGGTTGGTAAGCTATTGATTATTGCCACAATTTCAGAGCCTGTTATTGGTCTATTTACAGATTCAAGTTCTTCCTGGTTTAGTCTTGTGAGGGTGTATGTGTCGAGGAATTTATCCATTTCTTCTAGATTTTCTAGTTTATTTGCGGAGAGGTGTTTGTAGTATTCTCTGATGGTAGTTTGTATTTCTGTGGGATCGGTGGTGATATCCCCTTTATCATTTTTTATTGCGTCTATGTGATTCTTCTCTCTTTTCTTCTTTATTAGTCTTGCTAGCAGTCTATCAATTTTGTTGATCCTTTCAAAAAACCAGCTCCTGGATTCATTAATTTTTTGAAGGGTTTTTTGTGTCTCTATTTCCTTCATTTCTGCTCTGATTTTAGTTATTTCTTGCCTTCTGCTAGCTTTTGAATGTGTTTGCTCTTGCTTTTCTAGTTCTTTTAATTGTGAGGTTAGGGTGTCAATTTTGGATCTTTCCTGCTTTCTCTTGTGGACATTTAGTGCTATAAATTTCCCTCTACACACTGCTTTGAATGTGTCCCAGAAAGTCTGGTATGTTGTGTCTTTGTTCTCGTTGGTTTCAAAGAACATCTTTATTTCTGCCTTCATTTCGTTATGTACCCAGTAGTCATTCAGGAGAAGGTATCCACCATGATCAAGTGGGCTTCATCCCTGGGATGCAAGGCTGGTTCAGTATACGCAAATCAATAAATGTAATCCAGCATATAAACAGAACCAAAGACAAAAACCACATGATTATCTCAATAGATGCAGAAAAGGCCTTTGACAAAATTCAACAACGCTTCATGCTAAAAACTCTCAATAAATTAGGTATTGATAGGACGTATCTCAAAATAATAAGAGCTATCTATGACAAACCCATAGCCAATATCATACTGAATGGGCAAAAACTGGAAGCATTCCCTTTGAAAACTGGCACAAGACAGAGATGCCCTCTCTCACCACTCCTATTCAACATAGTGTTGGAAGTTCTGTCCAGGGCAATTAGGCAGGAGAAGGAAATAAAGGGTATTCAATTAGGAAAAGAGGAAGTCAAATTGTCCTTGTTTGCAGATGACATGACTGTATATCTAGAAAACCCCATAGTCTCAGCCCAAAATCTCCTTAAGCTGATAAGCAACTTCAGCAAAGTCTCAGGATAAAAAATCAATGTACAGAAATCACAAGCATTCTTATACACCAATAACAGACAAACAGAGAGCCAAATCATGAGTGAACTCCCATTCACAATTGCTTCAAAGAGAATAAAATACCTAGGAATCCAACTTACAAGGGACGTGAAGGACCTCTTCAAGGAGAACTACAAACCACTACTCAATGAAATAAAAGAGGATACAAACAAATGGAAGAACATTCCACGCTCATGGATAGGAAGAATCAATATTGTGAAAATGGCCATACTGCCCAAGTTAATTTATAGATTCAATGCCATCCCCATCAAGCTACCAATGACTTTCTTCCCAGAATTGGAAAAAACTACTTTAAAGTTCATATGGAACCAAAAAAGAGCCCACATTGCCAAGTCAATCCTAAGCCAAGAGAACAAAGCTGGAGGCATCACGCTACCTGACTTCAAACTATACTACAAGGCTACAGTACCCAAAACAGCATGATACTGGTACCAAAACAGAGATATAGATCAATGGAACAGAACAGAGCCCTCAGAAATAATGCCACATATCTACAACTATCTGATCTTTGACAAACCTGAGAAAAACAAGCAATGGGGAAAGGATTCCCTATTTAATAAATGCTGCTGGGAAAACTGGCTAGCCATATGTAGAAAGCTGAAACTGGATCCCTTCCTTACACTTTATACAAAAATTAATTCAAGATGGATTAAAGACTTAAACATTAGACCTAAAACCATCAAAACCCTAGAAGAAAACCTAGGCATTACCATTCAGGACATAGGCATGGGCAAGGACTTCATGTCTAAAACACCAAAAGCAATGGCAACAAAAGCCAAAATTGACAAATGGGATCTAATTAAACTAAAGAGCTTCTGCACAGCAAAAGAAACTACCATCAGAGTGAACAGGCAACCTACAAAATGGGAGAAAATTTTCACAACCTACTCATCTGACAAAGGGCTAATATCCAGAATCTACAATGAACTCAAACAAATTTACAACAAAAAAACAAACAACCCCATCAAAAACTGGGTGAAGGACATGAGCAGACACTTCTCAAAAGAAGACATTTATGCAGCCAAAAAACACATGAAAAAATGCTCATCATCACTGGCCATCAGAGAAATGCAAATCAAAACCACAGTGAGATACCATCTCACACCAGTTAAAATGGCAATCATTAAAAAGTCAGGAAACAACAGGTGCTGGAGAGGATGTGGAGAAATAGGAACACGTTTACACTGTTGGTGGGACTGCAAACTAGTTCAACCATTGTGGACGTCAGTGTGGCGATTCCTCAGGGATCTAGAACTAGAAATACCACTTGACCCAGCCATCCCATTATTGGGTATATACCCAAAGGACTATAAATCATGCTGCTATAAAGACACATGAACACGTATGTTTATTGCGGCACTATTCACAATAGCAAAGACTTGGAACCAACCCAAATGTCCAACAATGATAGACTGGATTAAGAAAATGTGGCACATATACACCATGGAATACTATGCAGCCATTAAAAAGGATGAGTTCACGTCCTTTGTAGGGACATGGATGAAATTAGAAATCATCATTCTCAGTAAACTATCGCAAGGACAAAAAAACCAAACACCGCATATTCTCACTCATAGGTGGGAATTGAACAATGAGAACACATGGACACAGGAAGGGGAACATCACACTCTGGGGACTGTTGTGGGGTGGGGGGAGGGGGGGAGGGATAGCATTAGGAGATATACCTAATGCTAAATGACGAGTTAATGGGTGCAGCACAGCAGCATGGCACATGTATACATATGTAACTAACCTGCACATTGTGCACATGTACCTTAAAACTTAAAGTATAATAATAATAAAATAAAAATAAAAAAAAATTGCATGTTATCATTATCTGAAATGATCCTCAAGTTTTCAGTAATAAAGTATAAAATGGTAAAAATTAAAAAAATAAATTAAACATCTCCTTATCTAGAGGCATAACTTTAGAAATAACTCTACAGTCTCTTAACTATTTTCATCTTTGATTAATGACCAGGTTACATTGGAGAAAAAGTCAGTATTTTCTACTGGTAAATTACGCAATTCTACCAGTAAAGGTTTAGGCATGATTTGGACTGTTTTAAATAATTTGCATTTTGAAAATACTCATTCACCACCCTAATGTGTCACCACTATACACTCCATAGGGTAAGGTGAAGGGTATGCATTGAAGTTTTTAGTCACATCGAAGAATGTAGATTTAAAATTCAAATGATGATGGAATCAGCCTGCATTAGAAAGCTGCTTTTCAAATTATTCGAATTGATGTTTGCATAAATCTGGATAGTGAAAACAAAAGTATCTTCTACAGCAAAATGGTAGATCTAAATATACAAAATCAAAGCAGAGTTATGCTGTGTTATCTTAAAAGAAAAGGAAGTGTCAAAATTTGGTTAACAATATTAAGATCCCTGAATAAATAATAAAGTATAAGATGATTACTAAAGGAAAAACAGAAAAATCACCAAAGCAAATTAGTTTGTTTACATTTTCTGTGTTCAAAGGGCTGTGATCATTTCTTAAAATATAGCAGTAAGTTCATTGTGTTCAGAT
The DNA here is from genome assembly GCF_000001405.40 of Homo sapiens. Classification (NCBI taxonomy): domain Eukaryota; kingdom Metazoa; phylum Chordata; class Mammalia; order Primates; family Hominidae; genus Homo; species Homo sapiens. The sequence goes on from NC_000003.12 coordinate 165,883,824, forward strand.
TAAATCAGCAAATTTAAATGATTAAAAAACACATAATAAACGTGTGTTAATAAAATGAGCATATACATAAAAGCATAACTATAATGAATGTATATAATATATGTATATACAAATAAATTCATGCACGTGTATATATATACTAGAAGGCAGAGTCTGTGAAGATAAGAGGTGACAGAGTGTTCTACTTTAGATTGGGAAGTGAAGCAATGTGAATCATAGCTCTCGGAGTTTATGTTTATATCTGAAGGGTGATCAAAGGGTGGCGTAAAGAAGTGGTGGGGAGGTACACAGTTCGGTCAAATAAAACAGCAAGTGCGAAAGCCCTAAAGTGAGATTTACCTGTTAGAAAACTGGAAGGCAGGTCAGTGTGGCTACAACCTAGCAAGTAAAGGTGATACTAATAAAAGGTAATTTTGTGATAAATTTGTGAAAGCCAATGGGAATTCTTCACCGTCTATCTCACACTTCTGCTACCCTCTGTGTTGGTTTCGTTTTCAGGCAGTTTTCTTCCCATGATAACAAACATTAGCAGCTCCAGTCTTTAGGGCTCACAACCCATGGACATGACCTAACTTCACAAACCTGCTCCTTTGAAATCTCTCCCACCCAAGTTAAAGGGAATTCCATCTTTCCTATTATTTGAGGGCAAAAAAAGTCAGGATTACCTTTGTCTCTTTGTTTTCCTACATTCCAAATATAAGCAGTAATTCTGGTAGGAGGCACCTTCAGAATATTTCCAGTTTCTGTCCATTTTTACCACACATGCCTCAGCTATTATCTTCTTTTACTTGGATTATTACAATAACCTTTTCAGTGATCTATTTTATACTTGTACTGCATTCTATTTTCAATGCAACAGCCACTTCTCTGACCTCATCTCTACCTCATCTGCCATCCTTTCTCTTTACTCACACAGCTCCAGTCACACTAATAAGCCACACTGTTTACATAAATTTTTCTGAGCTTTAATTCACAGGATCTATCTCATGAAATTATTTAAATAATTATATGTAAACATGCATTTAAATGTTTCTTGTTATGTTTCCTAAAAACTTATAATTAAATATTAGCAGGCATATTAATATTATTGCTGATTAAAATTTTGGTTTCTCAATAGAGAAAAACATCATACCATTCAAAGAGACTTTTATAGTTTTGTTTCTAGTTGTTACTTAAGTTAATATAATACTACTATAATTTGCACACTGCATCTTATTTTGTAATGCACCAAGTTAAAAATAAATTATTAATTTTGTATTAACATTGCTGTAAATTTGAGCCAAGTAGAAAAATAATATTCTTGATTCAATATTTAGATTTTAGGTGACTATAAATGCACAAAAACAATATCCTTCAAAGAAAGACGGATTATAGGTCAAATTAGCACAGGGACTTGACATAATCTGTGATTCTTGTGTGAATGAGTAAAGAGTGGCAAGAGGTTCTTAACATCCACAAACACTGAAACTAATTAGTGTAATCAAGAGGACATTACAAAAAATATGTGGTCTTTTTTATTACTTATTTGCAATTTTTCACTTTGAGTTCCTTATTCTTGCATCTAAAAGGCAATTTAAAAAGGGACTTGGAGAAAATACTTTAGCCGAGAATAACTATCTGTATCTTAACTGTGAACCCCGAATATCTGAGACAGGTCTCAGGTAATTTAGAAAGCTTACCTTGCCAGGGTTGAGGACACGCACCCGTGACACAGCCTCCTCAGGAGGTCCTGACGACTTGTGCTGAAGGTGATCAGAGCACAGTTTGGTTTTATACATTTTAGGGAGACATGAGACATCAATCAACATATGTAAAAAAAACCTTGATTTGGTCTGGAAAGGCGGGACAACTGGAAGCAAAAGCTGGAAGACTTGAAGCAGGGATGGGACTTCCAAGTCATAGGTAGAGAAGAGACAAATGGTTGCATTCTTTTGAGTTTCTAATTAGCCTTTCCAAAGGAAGCAAACAGATGTGAATTTATCTTAGTGAGCAGAGGGGTGACTTTGAGTAGAATGAGAGGCATGTTAGCCCTAAGCAGTTCCCAGCTTGACTTTTCCCTTTAGCTTAATGATTTGAGAGCTCCAAGACTTGTTTTCTCTTCACATTACTTTCAGAATTTTTCTTGATCTCTAGTTTTCTTGTTTATGGTATTGTTCTTCTTACTGCTTAAACAATGGTTAGATGGTAGTTCATGATAAGGGAACAAACATTAAAAAAAATAATGCCCTGTATCCAATAGTAAAAACACTATCTGTTTCACTTTCTGCGCTGCTTACTTGAAAAAAGCATGGTGAGCATTATTAGCTCATCCAGTTAACTTTAAAGATTGTGAAATCTCTTCAGTCTCTATGCCCTTAAAAAAATGGGACGTCGCATGTACTTAATATTCTAATTAATCAATTATTTATGAAATGATAGCATAATGACCAATCAGAGACAATATACGCAACAATGTACCTAAACCCCTTTCAGGAGGAATCTCTTGCCAAGAAATAATTGAACCATATGCATAATATAAAATATGCATTTCTGTACAGGTCTTTAATCTCTGCAAGAAGAGAGGTACTCTTGATAAATAATAATAGAAATACATTACCATTTAAAATGCTAAATAAGAAGGCATTCCTAATCTCCAGTACTTTATGTGAATTACTGCTCTTTTTCTGGCAAAATGTAATTTGGTAGACAAAACCTAAGTTTTGATAAACATAAGTATAAAATATGTCCTTTGTAAGGCAGGCTATTCCATTGTGTTTCATAAAAATTTATCATGACAAAAGTATAAATCTTAGTTTATTCTTTAGTCTGTTTTTCTTTCCTTAATAAAACATAGTTTATAAAGTAAATTAGAGTTGAATGGCGTATTTGTTGTCATTAATAAATGAAACCATCATTTATTCATTAGTGAAATTGAAAGTATTATGTAATAGGACCTTAGAACATGGGAAGAGTATAGAAAAATAGAATAAAAATAATCAACATCAATATTTATCAATGTTAGCATGTTATACAGTTACCTATAGTGTTTCAATGTGCTGTCATTAATTTAAAAGAAATATGATCATAGAAAAATGTATAAACTTAATTAGGACTTAAAAAGTGTATACCCTTTAATAAAAGGGATACTTTTAAGTTAATAGATTCATAATGAAGCATTAATTGACTAAATATTTTAACTGGGAAGTTAGTGAAAATATAAATATAGGCTCAACTTGAAACCCTATATGTAAGTTATAGATAATGCTCCAAATATAAAAATATATATATATATATACACACACATGCCTGAAAAATGATAAAGATATTTAATAATTAAGTTTGTGGTATCCATATTTACCTGACATTGAAGATGTCACAAATTTGGCAGAAATATATTTTTTTCATTTTCCTGTTTGTTGACAGTGTTGATGGTAATACTTAATTATTCTATTAGCAAAGTAATTAATTAAAACCTAGCTAATCTGGGCTCTATGCTATGAAATGGTATTAAATACAGCATAATATTTGGTCCTAAACACCAAAGTTCTTATCATCAGGTTGTGGAAGCAAAGTATAAATACAATGAACCCAAATCCAAATGGAAAATCATCAGGTAGTATCTGGACCATTATAATGCTGTTTTCCCAAAAATTGAACTGGACATGTGGAGATAGGGACAGGTGTTTGGAAGCAGAACTGAAGATTACAAAGAAATGTCAGTGCACAATATATGCATCAGTGAAAACCACAAAGGATTAATGTAAGTCATGCAGAAACAGAAGCTAAGATGAGGGAAAGTTATGGAGTGGAGATAGGAAACACAGAGTAAAGGGAGAACAGTTAATTGTAGCCACAGGTAGAGTGTAGTCAAAGAAAAAAAATATTTAATTTTAATGATGGAGTATGACATTTTCCTACTGTTGTAGATATGCTTGAAATACATTTAAGATCAGTGAGGCAGTTTAATTCAACCACTGGGAGCTGGTTGTGTTCTTGCTGTGGGATATCATGACATAAGACAACGCTTTGTGACTTTTCTTTTCTTTCTATTCAATTTCTTTCTTTTTCCATCTACACCTTTAAAATAAAGCATCTATTTCACTGTTATATGAGGTTACCACATATATTAATTTCCTATTACTGCTGTAACAAATGACTACAAATTGAGTGTCTTAACACAAATTTATATCTTATAGTTCTAGAGGATGGAAGTCCTAAAATGGGTCTTACGAGGCTAAAATTAATCTGTTGGTCAGGCTGCAATCCTGAAAGGAAGACTGTAGGGAAGAATCCGTTTCCTTAACTTTTCTAGCTTCTAGTTTTCCAATCTCTGTCTCTGACTTGGGCCCTTCTGACTCCATTTTATAAAAATCTTTGTGATTATATTAGATCCACCTGGATCAGCCAGTATAATCTCTCTGTCGAAAGATACTTAATCACATATGCAAAGTCCCTTTTGCCATGTAAGGTAACATATTCAGAAGTATTGAGGATTAGGAGGTGGACATCTTTGGAGGGTCATCTTCACCTTCCCACACTTCACATAATAAAACTTCAGTGAACAAGTTGACAAATGGTTTTAGTATATGATGGAAGTTTATTAGCAGGAGAAAATCCTTTGAATTTGGCCCACCAAAACATAAACTCAGTTAATGTAGCAGAGGGATTTGAGAAGATTGACTACAATTTTGAAAGTAGTTTTACTGTGGATAAAATGCTATCAAACAGCATTGCATGCTATAGAAAAATATTTTGTGAAAGAGTCAATCTATGTAGCAAACTTCATTGCTGTTCTATTTTAAGAAATTAACACAGCCTCCCCAACCTTCAGCAAGCAGCACCCTCATCAGTCAGCAGCTACCAATATCGAGGCAAGACCCTCTATCATCAAGATGATCATGACCTGCTGAAGGCTCAGATTATCATTAACAAGTTAGCAATAAAGTGTTTTTAATTAAGATATTTACATTGATTTTTAGACATAATGCAATTGCACACTTAATAGATGACAGTATATTGTAAACATAATTTTAATATGCAATGGAAAGCCAAAAACTTTGTGTGACTCATGTTATTGTGATATTTGCTTCATTGCAATGGCTTGTAACTGAACCCACAGTATCTCCAAACTACACTTGTATTTGAAAAATAAAAAAAAAGGAGGAGAAGCAAGTTGAATTGAATTTTGAAGATTAGACGAGTTTTCTTACTGTCAAAATAAAGGAGTAATTTAATGCCAGGGTACAGGTAGAGAAAAAACAACAGCATAAACAAAGATATGAAGAAGAAATAGGTTCAAAAGAGAGATACTTTGATCAACTAGTGACAGCAGAATATTCACAGAAGCAAGGAGAAAGAGAATAATTTAAGAATTTAGATTTGGAGAATGTATGGAAAAGTTTGAAAATGTAACAAAAAAGCCTTCATCTTACCCCATAAGCATTGGCTTTCCAATATAATAATAGTAAAGAAAAAGAAAAGTTGTGGTAAAGAAAAGGCTGGAGGGAGAATTCCAGGTTGCTATTACAGTATGAAATCAAGAAATTCTAAGTACCTACTTCTATAATGAGGTTAACAAAAATATATATATAAATGTTAATCTTACTTTGAATTTGAAGAGAATTTTTTATTTGGTGAATATAGATATACAAAATATAATTTTTGAGTGTAGATAGATGTGATTAAAACCTTCTATTTTTACTATTATTTATCAACATTTATTGTCAGTTAACATAAAGAAGTAATGGTAGTTTCTTCCTATAGCAACAAATAAAAAGTAATATTTACATCTAATTAGAACATACTTAGGCATAAATATGATTTTAAATCTTTCATGCTTATATGTGAATGAGTAAAAATATCTGAAATTCAAAGTGAAAACTGATGTTTTACAGATAAAAAGAACTGTATTGCTTTTACATTTTTACACTATTTAGAAGGCTTTATTGTTCTTCTTGGCTTGTTATTGATAGTTTCATCTTCATATACAGCCTAATCAGAGCTTGCACTATTGCTATGAGAGTGATGTGTCATATCATCACAAAGGTGAGAAAGAAAAAAAATACACAATTCTTTTTGGTTTAGGAAGCCCTCTTTCAGAAAAATTCTTCTACTACTAATGTAGTAGAATTTATATGTTCATGTCAATCAAAGACAGTTAATCCCAACTCTAACTAAACAACAGTGACTATTTGAAAACAAGATTTACCTTGAATACTATTGTCTTTGATATTAGACAATAGATGATAAAATGCCTTAAGAAATAATGGATAGTGTTTCAAAATAATACTATATGCCTGGTACTTTATAAGATATATTTCTCACAAAAAATACTACATTCTCTCTAATATAAGGATACTGCAATCCAGAGAGGTTAAATATTTATTGTCACTGAGCTAGAAATTGGTGATTGGAGTGTGGAGAATCAAACACTTTATTTCTATTTTTGCCACCTGGTTGCCAAAACTCTTTATATTAAACAGTATTGCCTCTCTGAAAACTAAAAATTTGAATTATGTGCTCTCCAAGGCCCATCCAATATCAACATTCTATAAATATTAGTGTAGCTAGGATAAAAATATGACTCCTAATTATCTCCCTTATAATAGAATTGTAATAAAATAAAGAATCATTTTATGACATTAAAAAAATTAATGAACTAATTCAAGGACAGGAAAGCACAAGCCATGAAGTAAGGCACAACTTTCAGAAACTAAATTGTTGGAAGAACTGGGTTGATACGTGCCTTTCAGAGTTTTTGATCTAATCAGATATGGAGTGTATTTTAAATATGAACACCTGACAAGGTCTTATGGCGTAGAAATGTGCTGAGAATCTAGCCAGAAACAATGATTATCTGCACTCTAGTCACCTAACAAACAACAATAACAACAAACAAACAAAAAGGCGGTATATCAGTAAACTGTTGGTGAATATCAGTCATTCTCAAACCTCTTTGTGCATTTGAATCATCTAAAGTGCTTTTTAAAAGATGAATATCTGGACCCCTCTACCATGAAACGCTGATTTAGCTGATCTGTCATGAGGATTAATTATCTATATTTTTAAGTATCACTTTGCATTTATATCTATTATAGATGCTGCTATAAGAACCTCATTAAAAACAGTGAGGAAATATGTTCCTCGAAGCTTGGTAGTGCCACAATATTTATTGCTGTTACAGTAAATTATTAGGGTAAGAATGAATTCTTCAATGAACAATAAATATGCTAGATGTTTCAGAACATGAGAAATTCTTATTGTATGCCAAAAATAAGCTCTGGGACCACATGGAACCTTTTTTATGAAGGCCATAGAAACCCTTGCCATTAAAATAATGTGCCTCCTCATTTCATGAATATAAATTCTTAAGTTTTTATTTTTTATCAGTAGTATCAATGGATGAAAATATTTCCAGATTATGAATTTTCAAATGGACAACACTGAAAATATGGTATCTGGTTGGCCATTTGTTGAAAGGTGAGATGCCTGAGGGAGGGACCCATATAAGGAAGTTTTGCTTTTGTTCTTATAATTTAGAGTTATAGAAGGGTTATATCTGGGATATGTTTTCTAAGATGAACTTAAGTTTTTATATGCTCCTTCCAGGCTTCTCAGAATGTTATTACTCATACATTTAAAATTTTGTCAAATAGATAAAAGGAAAGCTCCAAAATATATAACTGTTCTTGGACTGGTTCCTTAAAAAGAATATTCACTTGGATTTCTGGCTTACAGCTTAAATAATAACATTACTATTGCTAACAAATCTTTGTAAAGACAACTAGAGAGAAATACTTACATCACTGCAGCATATGCATGGTTTTCTCCACAGGCCAGCGTTTCCAACTCTTTGGTTTGTATTAAGGAATTTACTAGCTCTTAGGGTTAACACATTTAGATGGGTGATGTGTGATCAAGAAAATCGTTGTTCCAAGTTCGGATGAACCACCATTGCCTCATAAAATAAAGCAGAATAATAATTGCTTAAAAAGGAAGAATTGGAGCTGGAAAACAAATGTTTTTACTGGTAGTTCTGGGTAAAAAGGAGTGCATCTTGTGAGGTATACATGATGTTAATAGGGATCTGTCTTAGTTTGTGTTGCTATAAAGAAATAGCTGAGGCTGGGCACGGTGGCTCATGACTGTAATCCCAGCACTTTGGGAGGCCACGGAGGGCACATGACCCGAGGTCAGAATTTTAAGACCAGCCAGGCCAACATGGTGAAACCCCATCTCTACTAAAAATACAAAAATTAGCCAAGCATGGTAGCAGGTGCCTACAATCCCAGCTACTTGGGAGGCTGAGGCAGGAGAATCACTTGAACCCAGGAGGTGGAGGTTGCAGTGAGCTGAGATAGTGCCACTGACCTCCAGCCTGGGTGACTGTTTTCAGAGTGAAACTGTCTCAAAAACAAAAAATAAATAAATAAATAAAATAAAAATAAATAGCTGAGGCTGTGTAATTAATTTTTTAAAATGATATTTATTGGCTTATGATTCTGCTGGCTAAAAGATTTTACTTCTGGTGAAAGCTTCAGGCTGCTTCCATTTATGGCAGAAGGTGAATGGGAGCAGGTGTATGCAGAGATCACATGGTGAGAGAGGAAGCAAGAAAGAGACAGGGGAGGTACAAGGCTCTTTTTAAACAATCAGCTTTCCCAGTATCAGAGCAAGAACTCATTCATTACTGCGAGGATGGTACCAAGCCATTCATGAGGAATCCACCCCCATGACAAAAACACCTTTCATTAGGCCCCACTTTCAACCCTGAGGATAAAATTTCAACACGAGGTTTGAAGGGGACTAATATCCAAACTATAGCATGATCCATCTGTACTTGTTTGTTTTTTACCTCTGTCACCTAAGATAGGAATTAGAAAGCCAGTATTTTTAAAAGAGAATTTGCTCTTTTGCATGATGGAAACAGCATTTAAAAGCATTCTTGGGATGAAGCATCTCAAGAATGTCATCTTCTTGGGGGAGAGACTCTTTGTGAGGGGTGGGAAGCACAGTCGAATCAGCAGGTGAGTTCCCATGCCTCTTTGCCCTGCCGTCACACCATCGAAAAAATATAAATCTTCAGATTGAATTCAGTCAAACTTCTGGTCAAAAACTGGGCCATGGTCACTGAGCCTATTTCATTGGCAGGCACACTGACACTCACTGCCTTCCCAAATATCAATTGTACATTGATATTACATTGCAAACTCACATGCCCCCACCCCTTCAAAATTATTTCAGTTTTCCCCATTATTTCTAAACTGGCAGTAACTTCACCTTATCCATCCTTTTCAGCAGTTGACCTTGCTATGAAATCACTTTTTCTATACATACCCACCATCATTGTTTTATCCTGTTTCCTGTTATAGTGTAAAGGTTTGGTTCACCGTAAGATATATCCTTACATGTGTGTTCTGATGCTCATCTTCTCTATCACCACCTAAAAGAATGTCTATGCATACATTAGTTGGTCTAAAAGAATCTGTGATAGAGAAACGTGGTTCTTTACATTTACTACAAAGAGTCAATTTACATTAGGGATTAATGAGAAGGAATGATTTCACTGGAGATTTTTATAGGAATGGAAGAATAACTGTTGTAAAACACTGAATAGAATTTCACTCAAAACTCAATTAAAAGTGTCTAGTGACTATTCAGAATGATGTCCTTTTGCTTTTCTTCCCACATAAGGAGCCCAGCAGTCCCAGTCCTACTTTTTACATAGCTAGGTGTTCCCCATTAAGTCTTAATTTTCTTTTTTCCCAGGTAAAATAAGCTAACTCACATTTATCCTAAATCCATACTTGCCTCATTGCTTAAAACTCTTCTCAGCTATGTGGATTGCCAATAATAATCTGTGCCCAACAGATTAAAGACCCTCCGCTTACCAGAAATCACCTTCTTTAGAAGTAATAGATAATTACAAATATCCCAAGAAACTACTCAGCTACACAATTATTCCTTTTCAGTCCCATGCCTTCAATTTTTCCTTCATCAGTTCTTTCCTAACCCATATTTAAATATATTCAAAATGTTTCTATTAGGTTGGTATAAAAGTAATTGCGGTTTTTGCCATTGAAAGTAATGGCAAAATTCACAGTGGATTGTATTGTGTGTTGTTCATGAGGGACAACATATGAAATATATTATGTAGTGTCATTGGTCACATCATATATTATAATGTAATAGTGATTCATTATTATTTATATTCACTTATGTTTTCAGACTATGGCTATGCCATTACTTTCAATGGCAAAAACTGCAATTACTTTTGCACCAACATAATAAGGGAAAAGACAGGCAAACAACAACTAAACCTACACCCACATGCAAACAACCAATCCAACGGCCTAAGTACCATCTGTAAACAGATAATTCCCCAATGCCAACCTCTATATGCTTAACAACAACTCATATACCTAAAACTCAGTATGTCCAAAATCGGATTTGTCATTTTTTCTTGCAAATTTTCCCCTTCTTCAAGTTTTTCTGTCTTATTAAATAACCTCCAACTATTTAATCTGAAAAATACCTTTGATTTTGTATTTCTTCTCCCTCTACATTTAACAGTGACCAAATTCAGTTGATTGATTGAGTCTTTAATGTCTCGTAAGCCATATACTATTCTCCAAACATACTGCCCCTAGTGTGGGTCACCACATCTCTGTTCTGACCACTGCAGTAATCTCCGGTTGGTTTCCCTGCATCCACTTACTCTACTCCAACACATTATTTTCAAATAAAAAGCTAGTTAGTTGTGCCAGTTCTACTTAAAAAATATAAATGAATTCCCATTGCTCTTGTGATAAAATCCTAAACATTTAATACAGCTCATAAGAGTCTCCAAATGAAGCCTTAACTTTCTTCCTACTCTGCACCCATAAATTCTTCTTACAGTGCCTCGGGATGTCACATTCTCACTCTGGTCCAGTGCTTTGCATATGCTTTATCCTCTGGTTAGATTGAGCTGACTCATTCAATACTGCAGCTGCACTTCAATAAAATCCACTTACCTTTATAATATGAGCTTAATGCCATTTTATTATAAAGCCTTCTCTAACTTCATAGACTAGGTTAAAATCCTCTGACATATTTCTTGTATCATCATATTTACTTCTACATATCACATACAAAAGAATTTAGACAATCAATTTCATGAGGACAGCTATTTTGTCTTATTATTCCCAATATTCCAGTGATCAAGACAGGTTTTCATCAATAAATGATTTATAGAATTAATTATATATATGGTCACAAAAGTCTGAACTATTGTGTGGTTTGTTTGTTTTGTTTTTAATTGCAGAGCAAATCTCTTCAGTGGTATAGTGAAGGCCCATGCTTATTTAGAGAAAATGAGAGACATGAAGCATCTAAGAAGACAGGAAATAAAAGAAATGTCAGGATAATGCACTGAGTTTATTGCAATTTTGCACAGTGTGTTGTATTATGCATTGTTAATAAGGGACAACATATGAAATATGTAGTGTCATTGGTCACATCATATATTATAATGTAATAGTGATTAATCATTTATTATTTATATCCACTTATGTTTTCAGACTATGGCTATGCTAAAGAATGGACACGTATAACTGAAAATTTTAGTCTTCACCTGAACAAAATTGGTTCAGAGCTTTTTTTTTTTTTTTCACAATAATAAACTTTCAGCACTAAGTGCTGGAAAGAGTGGTCTCTTTGAATGAATAGATCAGTGAGGCACAGAGATAGAAAGGTGAGGATTTAACAAGTTGCCTCTGGAATAAAAGAAGAATACAAGAAAGAATTTCAGTTTCCAGATATCATCTAAGGAAATGTATTAAGAATTGTGTGAAGAGGAATGCCTTTCTAGAGATCACATTTATAGTCTTTCCTTTTTTATTCTTGTGACATAAAGAGGGGTTTTCCTTTGGGCCAAGAGTTCATTGGAAACATTTATGAGATGTGATTTTTTGCAATATATGCCACATCATGAGGTTTGTAACAAAGGAAGAAGAGGAGGGGGTAGTCAGTCACTTTAGAGACTGAAGGAGCTACAATAACGGCTCTTCCCAAGATACTGACAGTCACTGTAGTAAAAAATGCATATATACACACATAATTACAATTTAAAGCTTAGTGTAAGCACATTGGAGGGAAGCATGGCACTGGTCTGTAACCTCTTGAGAGTTTTTTTGTTTTGGCACATGGTTCCTGTATAAACAATGCTTGCATCCTTTAATGGCAATGCTTGCAATTGTCATCTGACACGAAAGCATGTATCTATGATATGGGACAGTACCATAAGTATCTGGGCACAAGAGGGCGCTCCAGAGGTAAGTAAGAAATGTCAGAGGGGTCGCAGGTGGGCATTGCTCCTGGGTTCCACCAGAGTAGGCACCTACCAAATTTGTTTCAGAACTCCTAGTGCCCTGGCGTATGGGAGGCCAAAATGTTAGAAGGGACTTTACATAGAAGCACTAGAGAATCTAGCGATAGTGAAGAGTGGGTTGCAGATAGCCACATGTTCAAATTATTTCATGAAATGCATTTCTCATGGTAAATATTGATTGAATCATTTCTACTGAAGATCAAATATTGAAGCTTATTCTTCACTCAGGTACATGGTGGCTCTGAGAAGAAGCAGCTCCTCCTGATATGTTGAGACAAAGGGCTAATAATGCAGAGAATGGTAGAAATGGTTAGGACTTGCTTCAACTTTTAAGAAGTACTGTCCCAGTACTCCAGGCAGCAAATTGACATTTTATCACTATAGGTCATTTGCATTCACATTCTCAGGATAGAAGCCTATCAGAAAGTCAAACAAAGAAAAATAATACTATCTCTGCTTTCTCTTAGATTTGTACCATGTGAAAGTCCCCAGAGTCCCCACTCAAAAACAGTATAATTTCCAGAACACCTGAGAGAAAGAAGCCACAGAAGGCTTTGCCATATCTGGGATTGTGCTGAGAGCAAGAAATACAAAATAAAGCTGCAACGTGTTTGACCCTTTAGGAAAATATTGTGCTAGTTTAAATCTAGTTTGTGGGAACACAGAAGGCATGCTGATATATTGCATATTCCCTGAGTTCCATAGGCCCTGTGCATCCTCATCTTTTAGGTGCATAAAAAAATCAAGAATTATAAGGCTGTGGGTAGAACATGGTACTCTGAATAGACTTATTAATAAATTGCAAAAATATATCCTGAATTCAGAATGTCCTAGGGTGTTTAGAAAGGTTCTGGTTTTCATCACAAGATTTCAAGAAAAGATATAATTAAATAGTTATTGTTAATGAGAATAAGGCAAAATGGATTTGTTTTCTTCAAACATTTTATTATTTTGACAGGGTGCTTGAAGACGGTGCTTCCCATTCTTCCTGATGGAAGGATACGCATAGAAAATGATACCATTGGCATGAGACACAAAAGTTAGTTGAGAAGGCTGCTCGAGGCAAAAGGTTTTCAGGCCAGGTGACTCCGGAAGCCAAAGGCCTACCATTTAACAGTGACGAAAACGAGTACAGCAGCACATCCAAATCCCTTGCTGCCTGGAGGACTGCAGTGGCACACTGATTAGGCAGCTAAGCCCGCAGGTTATTTCAGGGGTACCACTACTCATCTTGACAGGAAACATTCACTGGGGACATGATTTAGTTGGAAGGTTAGTTCATGTTTGTTTTCAAATTTATTCTTCTATAATTGTTTGTAATAGTCCTTTTCATGATTTTTTTTTTTTTAATCAGCAGTCTCCCTCACTGCCCTCCCTCCCCAGGCTTTTACATCAATATTCTATTTGTGCTTTTCTCTATTTTTCTTTATTCATCTTGCCAGAATGTTAATAGAATTAATCATTTCAAATATTCAGCTTTTTGTTTGTTTAATATTCTATAGCATGTGTTGTGTTCACTGTTTCATTGATTTCTGCAATTACTTTTATTGTTTCATTTATTTTCTCCTTGGATTTATTCTGTGCTCTTTAAAATAATTTTTGACTTGAAAGCATTGCTAATTTTAAAAAGTCATTAAGGTATAACATACATATAGTAAACTGCTTTTCTTAATGTACATTTCTTCAAGTTTTGATAAATGCATATAGTTGTGCAACTACCACCGCAATCATGATATAGAATAGTTCCATCACCCCCCAGTTCTAACGTGTTTCTTTGTATTTGACACTTTTCCCTCTTCTAGTCTCTGGCAATGACTGATGTGCATTCTCCCCTTTTTTTTTTTAATCTTTTCTGGATTATCTATAAAGAGAATCATGTTGTAAGCTTTTGGATATGGCTATTCTTCACTTGGCAAAGTTTATTTTTTTCTTTCCTCCTCCTCCTCCTCCACCTCCTTCTCTTTCCTCCTCCTCCTCCTCTTCTTCTTCTTCCTCTTCTTCTTCTTCTTGTTCTTCTTATTATTATTATTTTATTTTTCATTTTTATATTTTTTGAGATGGAGTCTTGCTCTGTTGCCCAGGCTGGAGGGCAGTGGCACGATTTCGGCTCACTGCAACCTGTGCCTCCCGGTTCAAGCAATTCTCCGGCCTCAGCCTCCCGAGTAGGTGGGACTACAGGTGTGAGCCACCATGCCCAGGTAATTTTTGTATTTTTAGTAGAGACGGGATTTCACCATGTTGGCCAGGCTGGTCTCAAACTCCTGACCTCAGGTGATCTGCCCATGTCAGCCTCCCAAAGTGCTGGGATTACAGGCATGAGCCACTGTGCCTGACTGGCAAAATTAAATTATAACATAAACATGTTGCTTCATATATATATAGTATTTCTCTTTATTGTTGAATGTTCTAGTGTATAGATATGCCACTGTTTGTTTATCCATTCTTCAAGTGAGATACTTTGTGTTGTTGACAGTTTTTTGCTGATTATGTAATATGCCATTAAAATCATATATGTACAGGTTTTTTGTCTTAATATAAGGGTATTAAAGCCAAATAGATGCTAATGTCCTGTACAAAGGTGAAGTCTACCTGGATTATAAACCTAAATTTGAAAGATAAAGAAATATACTTAACAGAGAAAAATAGAATTTCTTTAGTAATTTATAGGCAGGAAAAAACTTTCTAATTTTTTTCAAATGCACAAAAGAAGAAATGTAATATTGTGATCTGATCACATTATTTCTCTTCGGTGGAAGAGAAATAGAGAGAATATGCAGCTGAAAGAGAGAAGTTATTTACGATGCTCGAAACCAAATGAGGATATTTAGCATATACAAGGAACTCCTGTAAATTAACAACATGCAAGATCCCAAGTTCAAAAGTAGAATATAAACAAATAATTTTCAAAGAGAGAGAAACCCAAGCCTATGAAGCGAGTCTATGAAGGGAGATTTAAAATTATAAATATTTGAAAAAATACAAATTCATGCAAAAATAAAAGATCTCTTTAGGCTGATTTTACTGGAAAAAAAAAAATGAAGAGGTTGGATCATGCCCAATGTTGACAAAGTGAGGATATATAGAAGCTGCTGAAGAAGCTGTAGGCTGGTAAAGCCATATGGGAAAGCAAACTGGTGTCACTCACTCAAATTTAATATATTTGTATGTTGAAAGTCAGCAAATCTTCCCCTGGGCACTTAGCCTATTAGGAAATATGAACCAGATTGTTAATTTTGGTGTTTTTTGTGGTATCAGGAAGTTAGCAAAAACCTGGGAATCCAAACACAGGAGAGTAGATAAGTGAAATAGGAAAGATCCACTCAATGGTATGGGTATTATGAATAGATAGTAAAATGAATCTTAACAAAAAGTTTAATGAAAATACTAATATCAGAATAAGATATAGGAAACAATACAAATTTTACAACAAACACATGCATACAAAACAATTCTCATTTTTGTAATAATACATACAACACCATTAAAATGTTAAATATATTTGAATGATAACTTAAGGAGTTCAGAAAGAAAATAGAAGTAGAGGATAGGAGTAAACAATAAACCAGCAAATAGAAATCAAGGTGGCATTCTATCGAAAAATACAAGAAAGCATATATTTACATTCCCTTTCTCTGAGTTTTTTTTTTTTTTTTTTTTTAAGTGCTAATCAACTAGGTGACAAAATTGGTTTTTACTGGGCCTTAGAAAAATACGAAATCTTTCCATACTGGACTGCATGAAGGAAATAGAATTAAAATTTGATTTTGGTAAGTTTCTGCTGGACTTAGGTAAAATAGGATTGACATAAAGTAATTTCAGTGTAACATAAAAGTTGAGATAGTCCTAAGAGAAATGAAACAAGGTTCTACATGGTTCTAAAATGATTTTGACATTGAGGAGCTAACTGTGATAAAGTGTTTAAGGCTTTAGTAGTTAATTTAGAGTAATGTTTTGACTTTGCATTCTACAAGCATTTGCAAATCTTTGTCATTATACACAAGAATATCTAATTGGAGGGCCCTGAGGAACCACGAAGAGACCTGTTACCTTCACCAACAGGGATCTGCCTATAGTGAAAATTGTAACTTAGTTGTTTTTTTAAAAAGACTTTAACTTAAAATTCTCACCATAAAATGTTGAACATTTTTTAATATTCTTTTTCATATATATATATATTTTTGTTATACTTTAAGTTCTAGGGTACATGTGCACAACGTGCAGGTTTGTTACATATGTATACATGTGCCATATTGGTGTGCTGCACCCATTAACTCGTCATTTACATTAGGTTTATCTCCTAATGCTATCCCTCCCCCCTCCCCCCACCCCACAACAGGCCCCTGTGTGTGATGTTCCCCTTCCTGTGTCCAAGTGCTTCTCATTGTTCAATTCCCACCTATGAGTGAGAACATGCGATGTTTGGTTTTTTGTCCTTGCAATAGTTTGCTGAGAATGATGGTATCCAGCTTCATCCATGTCCCTACAAAGGACATGAACTCATCCTTTTTTTTTGGCTGCATAGTATTCCATGGTGTATATGTGCCACATTTTCTTAATCCAGTCTATCATTGTTGGACATTTGGCTTGGTTCTAAGTCTTTGCTATTGCGAATAGTGCTGCAATAAACATATGTGTGCATATGTCTTTATAGCAGCATGATTTATAATCCTTTGGGTATATACCCATTAATGGCATGGCTGGGTCAAATGGTATTTCTAGTTTTCTAGATCCCTGAGGAATCGCCACACTGTCTTTCACAGTGGTTGAACTAGTTTACAGTCCCACCAACAGTGTAAAAGTGTTCCTATTTCTCCACATCCTCTCCAGCACCTGTTGTTTCCTGACTTTTTAATGATCACCATTCCAACTGGTATGAGATGGTATCTCATTGTGGTTTTGATTTGCATTTCTCTGATGGCCAATGATGATGAGCATCTTTTCATGTGTCTGCTGGCTGCATAAATGTCTTCTTTTGAGCAGTGTCTGTTCATATCCTTTGCCCACTTGTTGATAGGGTTGTTTGTTTTTTTCTTGTAAATTTGTTTGAGTTCATTGCAGATTCTGGATATTCGCCCTTTGTCAGATGAGTAGATTGCAAAAATTTTCTCCCATTCTGTAGGTTGCCTGTTCACTCTAATGGTAGTTTCTTTTCCTGTGCAGAAGCTCTTTAGTTTAATTAGATCCCATTTGTCAATTTTGGCTTTTGTTGCCATTGCTTTTGGTGTTTTAGACATGAAGTCCTTGCCCATGCCTATGTCCTGAATAGTATTGCCTAGGTTTTCTTCTAGGGTTTTTATAGTTTTAGGTCTAACATTTAAGTCTTTAATCCATCTTGAATTAATTTTTGTATAAAGTGTAAGGAAGGGATCCAGTTTCAGCTTTCTACATATGGCTAGCCAGTTTTCCCAGCACCATTTGTTAAATAGGGAATCCTTTCCCCATTTCTCATTTTTGTCAGGATTGTCAAAGATCAGATAGTTGTAGATGTGTGGTAGTATTTCTGAGGGCTCTGTTCTGTTCCATTGGTCTGTATCTCTGTTTTGGTACCAGTACCATGCTGTTTTGGTTACTGTAGCCTTGTAGTATAGTTTGAAGTCAGGTAGCGTGATGCCTCCAGCTTTGTTCTTTTGGCTTAGGATTGTCTTGGCAATGCAGGCCCTTTTTTGGTTCCATATGAACTTTAAAGTAGTTTTTTCCAATTCTGTGAAGAAAGTCATTAGTAGCTTGATGGGGATGGCATTGAATCTGTAAATTAACTTGGGCAGTATGGCCATTTTCACAATATTGATTCTTCCTATCCATGAGCATGGAATGTTCTTCCATTTGTTTGTATCCTCTTTTATTTCATTGAGCAGTGATTTGTAGTTCTGCTTGAAGAAGTCCTTCACATCCCTTGTAAGTTGGATTCCTAGGTATTTTATTCTCTTTGAAACAATTGTGAATGGGAGTTCACTCATGATTTGGCTCTCTGTTTGTCTGTTATTGGTGTATAAGAATGCTTGTGATTTTTGCACATTGATTTTGTATCCTGAGACTTTGCTAAAGTTGCCTATCAGCTTAAGGAGATTTTGGGCTGAGACTATGGGGTTTTCTAGATATATAATCATGTCATCTGCAAACAGGGACAATTTGA
The DNA here is from genome assembly GCF_000001405.40 of Homo sapiens. Lineage (NCBI taxonomy): Eukaryota > Metazoa > Chordata > Mammalia > Primates > Hominidae > Homo > Homo sapiens. The sequence continues at coordinate 165,902,306 of NC_000003.12, forward strand.
CTTCCTCTTTTCCTAATTGAATACCCTTTATTTCTTTCTCCTGTCTGATTGCCCTGGCGAGAACTTCCAACACTATGCTGAATAGGAGTGGTGACAGAGGGCATCCCTGTCTTGTGCCAGTTTTCAAAGGGAATGCTTCCAATTTTTGCCCATTCAATATGATATTGCCTGTGGGTTTGTCATAAATAGCTCTTATTATTTTGAGATATGTCCCATCAATACCTAATTTATTGAGAGTTTTTAGCATGAAGGGTTGTTGAATTTTGTCAAAGGCCTTTTCTGCATCTATTGAGATAATCATGTGGTTTTTGTCTTTGGTTCTGTTTATATGCTGGATTACTTTTATTGATTTTCATGTGTTGAACTAGCCTTGCATCCCAGGGATGAAGCGGACTTGATCATGGTGGATAAGCTTTTTGATGTGCTGCTGGATTCGGTTTGCCAGTATTTTATTGAGGATTTTTGCATAGATGAACATCTTTTTATATTCTTATTTGCTATCTACATAACTTCTTGGTGAAGTGTCTGTTCAGATCCTTTTGCCCGTTAGTAATTAGATATTTCATTTTCTTATTGTTGAGTTTAAGGTTACAGTTTAGTTTTGATTCAGAATTGATAGCATCTTAATAATCAAATTGCTATGGGAAAAAATAAATACATGTGGTGATTTTTTAAGTACTTGCTTACTTGAAAAACCATGAGGTGAGGAAATAGAGGAAGGCAACTCTAACGATATACAATTTCAAAATTTATTAGATATTTTATCTTTATTCAAAAGGCATTGTTCCTACTTCAGGAATAAAGTCAGATCATTCCAAAAATCACGATATAAGGTGTATTTTTCAAGGCAACATGACCATATTTGTTGGGGTACCTAAAGGGATTGAGAAGATTGTGCCCACACAGGTCCTTTGAGAAGCAAATGGCAAGGTGTTTTTATGTTTCCCAGGGGGTTATTGGGAGAAAATTTTTATAAAAGGTATAAGGGAGAGGAAACAAAAGTAAGTAGGAAAGGATTTTCATCTCTGATACAAATATGGCATCTATAAAGGAGATGGGGAAGAAAGACAAATTGCATAGGAAAAATCTCAGTCTGTGGTTCAACTTTAAGAAAGTCTTGGTAGGACATAAGATAAATAGAAAGCTCTGGGACAAAGAATGCCCAGCAGTGAGTTCCAAGTTGAAAATAAATTGTCATAATACTGTTGCCATATTCAGCTATTGACTGATATTTATGGGAATATCATAACTTCAACTCCAACGTGGTGGTGGATTCCTAAGAGACTGCAGCTAAAGATCACTAGCTAATTTCACACCTCGTGGCAGGTTCCTTAGAGAAGGGAGGTCTGCATAGCATATTTCTATTGTTGCTACAACCTTCTGCTTGTTCCAAGAAGTTTGTTTCTCCATCATTAGGAAAGTAGCTCTTCCGTGGTTCTAAAGTACTCTTTCTCTTGAAGGGAGACTTAGAAGAGAAAGGCTGGTGATACACAAAATGGCCCCATTGCTCTCAGGACCATGACTTGTACTCACCCTTTCCACCTTCCACTATCCATTCTTAAACCCTCTTTATTCTCATCTGTGATCTCTTTATGTCTTGATTATTCTTTCCTCATTCCTAAGGAATCTGTTGTGAACAAACCTTTATTTACGATGTGATCTAATGCTCATTTCTGAGGAATCTGAATCCCTTGCATGCATACCCTTCTCAAGCCAGAGTTGTCGCATTTATCCACTTACAGTGTCAACTGGAATGGGAATACCAACAGGCACCCATGTGAGTCACTTAAGCTCCCTACATACTTTTCCTGTTCCAATTGCGTAACAGCAACTCTATCTCATTTTGCCAGTCAGAGGCCAGTTTCTGTGGCCTCTGTCTTGAAAGGAACTCCTCGGTTAATCAGGATTTCTACCAGATCTTGCCTTTGGATTAGCCAACACTTTCTTAGAGCTACAACACAACCAGGAGTTTTTCTACCCAATCTTCCCTCTTTCTTCATTTCCTTTCACAGGTATCAAATCTGCATCATAGTCTGGATGCTTTCCCTTCTACTACTGATCCCCTCCCCCTGTATCTTTCACAGACGTTATCCCTCAGTAAGTTTCTGGCACTATTAACAGTCTTGGCATCTATTTCCTAGAGGACAGAAACTGAAACGATAAGCAAGTGTGGAGAAGGGAAAGAGAGTAATTCAGCTTGAAAATTTCAGAGTCCCCATCTGTTAGTATAAAATAAGTGTAAACATTCTAACGTTATTTTGATTATCTGTCTTCACTGCTTTATAGTCAAGAGATTGGCAGTTTAAGTTGTTAGATCAAAATGTGCCCAATGACTCTTCTTTGGAAGCATCAAAAGAGGTCCTGACAACATTCTGTCATGATTTGCACTCTTAAGAAAAGCAAGTTGGCCGGGCGCGGTGGCTCACGCCTGTAATCCCAGCACTTTGGGAGGCCGAGGCGGGCGGATCACGAGGTCAGGAGATCGAGACCATCCCGGCTAAAACGGTGAAACCCCGTCTCTACTAAAAATACAAAAAATGTGGCGGGCGCCTGTAGTCCCAGCTACTTGGGAGGCTGAGGCAGGAGAATGGCGTGAACCCGGGAGGCGGAGCTTGCAGTGAGCCGAGATCCCGCCACTGCACTCCAGCCTGGGCGACAGAGCGAGACTCCGTCTCAAAAAAAAAAAAAAAAAAAAAAAGCAAGTTAAAGTCATAGAACAGAGAAGAAAGAAAAAAGAAGTGTCCTTGGAGCCTGCCATTCCTTAAATATACTGCTGAATATTGTACTCATATACCTTTTCATTGCTTCATTGTTTTCTCTAATAAATCCTTTCCTTCTCTCTGGTATGCAGCTTTTATCTATTAATCTATTATCTTTACCTAACCTTTTCCTTAAAGCAAAAATATAACTAAAATTATTCATTTTAAGTTTATTTTTATTCATTCAGACTAATGCAGTATTACAGCATCCCATTTTTTTTAATCCTAAAAGGCAAATCTTATTCCTGATTATGTAAGTATGTATTCTAGGTTTATATTTAATACCATTCTTTTTTATTTCCATTCCTTAAAAGAGTTGTTTGTTATGTTCTCTGTTATGAACCAGATACTGAATTTAATTTGTTTATATTTAATTATATAAGATATAAAATAGCTTCAAAGTCATATCTACAAAATAAGATTTATTCCAAGAATTCTATTTTCTATTCTTATCCCTTGTTCCCTTCACACTGCCTCCTTCCTCCTTCATAAATAGATTTTTTTAAAGTTTTAAACTAGCTTTGCATATTTTATGAAAGCAAATGCATATCTGCTTGTTTTTTCCATTTTTTGTAGATAATAAATATCATATAATATTGCTTTTTCCTAGCCTTCTGTTTATATTTAAATATCTGTTCTGAAGATTTCTAAAATAAACTCTGCATTGCTATAGGAAAATCATTCAGATAGTTTTATTAAATAAATATGTTCTTATTTGAAATATATTTATATTGCAGGTTCTTTTTGAACTCTTCAGATAATTTCTTTGACATTACACTTGGGACCCTCTATGAGCAAATGGCAAAAGCACATACCTATAATATACACAAACATATCTATAGCAAAACCAAAGACTAAATGATGAAATAAATCAAATAATGAAATAAATATAAAACACACTGTGTTAATTGATTGAAAAATTCAACATAATAAAGATGCCAATTTTCCCCAAATTGATTTAATTTCCATCAAAATCTCACAAGATATATTGAAGAAATAGCCAAGATTATGCAAAAATTTATAAGTAAAACCATGGGCCCAGCAATAGTTAAAAGATTTTGAAGTAGTATAAAGTGAATGGAATTACTTAACCTGATATAAAGACTTATTATATAACTACAATAATCAAGATAGGCTTGTATTGTCAAAGGAATAGATACGTAGATCAGTGGAGAAGATTCAGAACCCCAAAATAGCCCACACAAGTGTGCTCAACTGATTTTTGGCAAAGTACAGAGAAATTTAATAAATAAAGCACAGTTTTTTCAACAAATGGAGGTGGAACAATTAGACAGGCATAGGGAAAAAAATAACCTGATCTAAACCTCGCACTTTATACAAAAATTAAGTCAAAAGAAAATACAAGCTTAAATGGAAAAGATAAAACCATCAAACCTAAGCAGAATACTGGCATAAATTGTAACATTTTATCAAAAATCTCCTTAAATAAACAATCTTTAATTTGAATTAAGAACCATTGAAATGACTACAGAATTAGTATTTGGTTAGGATGGTTCAGAAAATATGAACAGCCACAGCCTAGTTAGGACAAAATAAAAATAAAGTACATCTTACATGCATTTATAAAGTAAGAGCAATGTAATTTACCAAAGCTAGCATTATTTACTTTGAAAACTTGGATATAGCTCACCTTAGTAAAATTCAAATTATGTAGAAAATTGCTAAAGGCCTGTACATTTGAGCAATTAAAAAGTATTGAGTACCATTTTGCGCTAGTGTAGTCAGAAAGGGAAGGACCTATTTTAAAAAAAATCTGTGAATGTTCTGAAATGCATCAATATCTCATTTTTAGTTTACTTTTATAATATACTGGTTATTTTTACTGCTGTTCCCCTACAAGGTCAATATCAAAGAAATACAAGTTTTTAGGTAAGGGACCTATCTTATTTTATTTACCACTATAGTAAGCCATTATTACCTTAAAAGAAATTGAGAGATCAATGGAAGTTCTACCAAATTAGATATTTTACCTAGCTATTTTCTGATTGTTACCAGCAAGATTATAGCAATGTAAAATTAGTATTGCTTGACAAACTTAGAAGAAACTTTTTCTTTCATAAAAATATGCTCATAAAACTTATGTTAATTTTTTCTGCTAAAGAAAATATTTAAACATCGTTTTGAATATTTAAAAACCATTTTTGTGTATGTGTTTGGGATTTTATTTGCATATATAAAATTGCTATTGTGAATCACTTATGCTGCATATTTTTCTATTTCATATATATTATGTATTTTATATATTTAAAATATGTATTATGTATGTATTTAATGTATATTATATATTAAAACATATTACATATATTTTACAAAATACATAGGTTTTTAACATAGTTTTTATTTTAAAATTATATATTTAAAGTTTTTTTTGTTTTTTTTTTTTTACAAAACCACTAGTCCCACACAAATCATGAATTATAATCAGAAAAATAGAAGAGTAGGGACCCCTGAAAATTTACCACTTGGAAAAAGCAATGATAAAACTGGTAAAAATGTTCAACTTCTTCAAAAGTCTTGAAGAAGTCGACTTCTTCAAAATTGATATTAATCAAAGGCTATCAGTAACCTGTTGAGCACTTATTCAAGAAACGTGGCTGCATCTTAGCAATAACAGTTAACTTTTTAACACGTTATGTTACTCTACTCCTAGTCTTCTTTCTGTAGCTCAGTGGTGGCCTTGAAATATGACAGTTTACATCTATATGGAAGGGAGGAGAACAAAGTAGGAGCTTTTCCAAAGCTTTGTTATTGAAAAATTGTCATTTGACTTCTCTGGTGGTTCCTTGAAATACCTGCGTCGAAAGACTATTTGATCTTACTCAAGCCTCATTCAGTGCTCAAAGCCTCTTTTCAGGAGACTTTGCCAAAACTATTTACTGACAAATGATTAAACGTCATGGCTTCCTGGAAAAAAATGGCTAGTAGTTGAGGCAAAGAAGAGAATAACAAAAGTTTAAGAGGAAAAGCTCAGGAATTAGATGTCCATAGGGAATTTGAAAGGCTCAGACATATTCCTTGGAGTCTAGAAGACCACAATGCTTGCCGATGGCTGTACACATTCTCAGAAAGTATATAGTGAGGCTCCAAATTCTCACTTCTGACTTATCTTGAGGCTCTGAATAAACAGGAAATGAAGGTTAAGACAGAGTGGCAAATTTAATGGCTAAGTGTTGAAAACATGCTCTAACACACACAAAGACCTTTCTATAAAGACTGAAAGATTTATTGGTTACAGATATTTAAGAAATTCTCTTCAATTATTAGCTGATAACTAATCAAGCAGAGAATTAATGGCCACATTTGACAATACAGATTTTCCAGAATTAGTTCAGAAACGTCACTAAAAAATTACTGTAAAAGCAGTACTAACAACAAATCCTGATTTGGTAAGATAATCTGATTTTTCACAAAACATAATACATGTTAAGAAACTGGAAACAGTTTCTTTAACTCATACACAGGGGGGAACAGTAACAGAAACTGTTTCCAAATATCCAATAGAAAATGTAACTAATAGAAGCTGTTACCAAATAACCAATAGAAAACGTAACCTATAGAAACTGTTCCCAAAGAAGCTCAGATGTCAGACTTAATGGGCAAACATTTAAGTTGGCTATTTTTCATATTATATAAGAACTAAAGGAGATCATATATAAAGGAGTAAAGAAAAACCTAAGAATGATCTCTTACCAAATACAGAATAACAAAAAGAGGAACGAACCAAAAAGAAATTATGTATTTACAAAGCAAAAGATGTGAAATGGGAAATTTACTGGAGGTACACAACAAAACATTTGAACAGGTAACAAAAGAATCACCAAACTTGATGATAGGTCAATTGGAATTATCTAGTCTAAAAAACAGAAAGAAAAAAGAATGAGGAAAAAATAAGCAGAACCTCAGAGACCATCAACATACACAGAATGTAAGTCCCAGAAAAAAAGGACAAAGAGAAAGAGGAAAAAATAATACTTGGAGAAATAATGGCCAAAACCTTGTAAATTTGATGAAAAATTACTCTAAGTACAACAATCACAATGAACTTCAAGTAGGATAAATTCAAAGTGATCTACACCTAGATGCATTATAATCAAACTGTTAAAAGACAAATACAAATAGAGCATTTTGAAAACAGCAAGAGAAAAGTGAGTAATTCCATACAAGCGATACTAAAAAAAAAAAAAAAAAAAAATAATTAATAGCTATTTCTTCCAAAGGTAATGGAATGAGAAAGTGCTAAAAAATTTTAACTAAAAAAATTCTATCTATCTGGCAAACAAAACCTTTAGGAAATGAAAAATTAAGAGACTATGCTCTCAGGGAAACAAAAATTGAGAAATTTTATTGCCAGCAGACTTGCCCTATATGAAATAGTAAAGAGAGTCCTTCAGGCTAAAATGAAAGGACACTAGACAGTAATTCAATTCCACATGAAGAATGAAAGAATATTTCTTAAGCTCACTGCCTAGGTAAATTTAAAAGGCAGTATGAATATATTTTCTATGTTTGCAACTCCTTTTTTTTCAAATCTAATCTGATTTAAAAGACAATCCCATAAAGCAATATTTATAAATATATGTTGTCACCTAATATATAGTGATGTAATTTGTGAAAATAATAGCATAATGGGGGGTAGAACTGTATAGAAACAAAGATTCTGTATTTCATCTATTGAAATTAAGCTGTTATTAGGTTGGTGCAGAAGTAATTCGGTTTTTGTCATTACTTTCAATATTAATATTAAGTAATTGTAATGTTCTTATGTACAAAAAGTCTTAAAGAATCCACCAAGAAAGTATTAGAGCTAATTTAAATGGGTTCAGAAAGTTTACAGGATACAGAATTGATATTAAAAAATTAATTGTATGTCTATACACTAGCAATGAGCAATCCAAAAATGACATTGACAATAGCATACATTAAAAATAGCATTCAAAAGAATAAAATATTTATAAATAAATTCATCAAAAGTAATACAAGACACTAAAAACTACAAAATATTGTTGAAAGGAATTGTAACAAACTTTAATAAATGCAAATTCATCCCATGCAAATGGATTGACATATTTATTATGGTTAAAATGGCAATATTCCACAAAATAACCTACAGATGAAATGCAATCTATAGAAATGGAGAAGCTGAAAATACATATGAAAATGGAAGCATCCCAGAATATTCAAGACAATTTTGAAAAAAAAAAGTTGGAGGATTTATGCTTTCTTATTTCAAAACTTATGGGAAAGTCACAGTAATCAGGACAGTGTAATACTGACAAGAGGATATGCTTATAGGTCAGTGGACTAGAATAGAGAATCTAGAATTAAACCTGAACATCTACGGCAAATTCATTTTCAACAAGAATGCCAAGACAATTCAATGAGGAAAAGATAATTTTTTTCAAAAAATGTTAAAGTGACAAGAGGATATTCACAAACAAAAGAAAGGATTTGAACTACTAATTTACACTATATACAAAATTATCTCAAAATAGATAAAATAATCTAAATGTAACAACTAAAACTATGAAGTTATTTAAATAAGGGCTAAGTCTTCTATACCTTATAGTAAGCAATGATTTATTTGATATGACACCAAAAACACAAGCAATAGAAATTTAAAAAAAGATTTTTTACCAATAAAATAGATTAATTGGACTTTATTAAAATTAAAAATCTTTTTGCATTAAAGGACATTATAAAGGCTGAAAAGACAACTCAGAGAAAGGGAGAGAATATTTGCGCATTATATATTTCTATATTATAAGACTTTAGTATCCATAAAATATATTCTTAGCGCTCAGCAATAAATATACAATTGACATCATTAAAAATAGGCAAAGGACCTAAATAGGTATTTCTCTAAATTAGACATGCAAGTGGCCAATAAGCACTTAAAAAGATGTTCAACGTTATTTGTCATTAAGAAAAATGCAAATTAATACCGTAAGGAAACACTATTTCACACACAATAGCATGACTATAATAATTATTTTAAGGAAAATAACAGGTATTAGTACAGTTGTGGAGAGACTAGAATCCTCATACATTACAGATGGGATTGTAAAATTCCACAGCTATTGTAAAAAAAACCATTTGGTATTTTTTTTAGAGGTAACCATGGGGTTATTGTACGATCCATCAATTCAATTACTAGATTATATCCTAGTAATTTAGGTATATCCTAAATATATATATTTAGATATATCCTATTAATTGATATTGATGAATCATACAATAAACCCATGTAAACTCTATCCATGAGAATTAAAAATAATATGTGCAAAAAGCATATGTATGTGAATGTGTTGATACCTGCATCATTCATAACAATCAAAAAGTAGAAACAATCCAAATGTCCATTTGAGTTAGAACACATAAAATGTGGTGTACCGTACAATGGAATATTACTGAGTCGTAGAAATGAATGAAGTGCTGATACATGCTATAGCATCAATGAATGAAAATATGCTAAGTATAAAAAGTCAGTAACAAAATAATACATATTGTAACATCCTATTTGTGGGAGATGTCCAGAATAGGCAAACACCAGCCACAAAGTAGATTAGTGGTGTCAAGGGCTTGGGAGAAAGAAAAAATGTTAATGAGTAGAGGGTTTTTATTTGGGGTGATGAAAACATTTTGGAATTAGATACTGGTGACGACTGTATAATTTTGTAAGTGTATTAAAATCCACTAAATTGTATACATTTAAATGGAGAATTATATGACATATAAATTATAGTTTTTAAAGAAGAAATTGAACATTTGAACTGAAATAGAATTCGAACATCATCTGGCATTAGGTATAATGATATACCTAAATCTGTCAGTGATGAAATAAAATTGTGGATCTATTTTGTTCTACTTTCCCTTACTCAGCATGATCTCCCAAACTGGCTCATCATTGAAATTACTAGAGGAGGTATCCAAACTGGCTCATCATTGAAATTACATGAGGAAGTTTCTGTATAATATATATTTTCTAAACATTTTCATTTCATAGGTCTAAGGTAATACAAAATATATATTTTTAAAAGATTCTGAGATTATAAGTAATATTTACATTTGAGAAACCTTGACTGGAAAATAAAAACCGAGAAAATAGTGACATGCCTCAAGATCAAAGATCTACTAGTAGATAGAACCAGAAGCCAAGATTTTTGGTTTCTCTTCCTTTATCTTTTCATAATGTTGTACTGTCTCACAGTAGTACCTTCAAACCGATTAAATTTATACACAGATTTTATATGTCTTGTACATTGCATGATAACAGAAAAATCCATTAAGCTGGGTTTTCATCTTATTTACCCTAGGCCGGCAACCAATTTCTTCTCTTCTTGCCTCTTTCTCTTTAAAATCCCCCTTTGCTCTGTGTCAAGAGAACACTCAAGACTGTCAAGAGAGCAGTAGAGTTTACACTGCATATTTGGGAGATCATGCTGAGGAAGGGAAAGTAGAACAAAATTGATCCACGATTTTATTTCTTCATAATAGATTTAGGTATATTATTATTGTTGTATTGTTCCTGCCTTTCCCACTTTTTTCTACCTGCTCTTTCAGATTTCTCTGTCTCTTATTTTCTTCCATTTGACATAACATATTTTACTTCTGAGAAGAAAGCTAAACAAAGTAGAGTTGATTTGCATGATCTTACTTTCTTCAGTATTTGTTAGTAATATCTCTGTGAGTACTTGAAAACTCAAACAGCTATTTGGTTGTATGTCTACAGAGAGGGAGAAAAGAACAAACTCTGATGAAATCATTAATGTGACTTTCACTTGGACCTTTCTGATTACAGGAGCTTCATCCTAGTTGGCCTGAATAACACATTTGCGAAAGAATATTCTAGTTTTTTTTTTTACAGAATGAAAGGAGCATGACGTTATGATTTAATATGGTGATTAATTTAATAACATGGCTTAACTGAAAAGTGTTTAGAACTATGTCTGACACATAATGTTTTATGTGTTAGTTATTACATTGTTAGTATTATTCCTAGAGTCATAGCATAGATGTCTTCCTGTAGTGCAATAGCAAATATACTTCTGCCCCACTTCTTGAGACCATAAGGTTTCCTTCCTTGTGGATGAGGCATAGTTGATGGTATGGAACAGTAAAGGGATCCTGACATGGAAAAAAAGAGATGAAAGCAAGCACGTAAACAGTTAAGAGACCAGAGCATTAAATAAATTACCAAGGACTACCAACTCTCTTTTGCCAGCATAAGCTTGCATACAACTTCCCGCAGACACCATCATGGAAGAAAAGCAGAAAAATAGCAAAGCTATTTGGGAGACAGTATTTTTTTCTAGAGATACTGAACATTAACTGAATGAGAGGACTATTTATATGATAAAAGTTAGTAAAGGCATTAAAGGGACTTCCTTCAGTGTTCCCTTTACTACTCTGTTGTATTTGTTGTTTTCTTCTTAGCATACATTATTCATTCTTTCTGCAGTTGCCCCATTTAGCAAGTCATCTTTTCACACTCTCAATCTGTATGGATGGCCTAATCAAGTAATGGAGTCTATATTACAGCCCTAACAAATCAGTGCATCTCTTTCCCCTAGGAATGCAGATTAGCTGTAGGCACATGATATATCTAAGCCAGTCGAATAGGACAGTGCTATTAATCCAATAATGGGATAATGATATTTTTACTAGAAAAAAATTGCAATTGTAATTTGTATTTATGGAATGTGAATGTATTAGTCAGGGTTCTCTAGAGGAACAGAACTAAAAGGATAGATATATATATATAAAGGGGAGTTCATTAAGGAGTATTGACTCACACAATCACTTGGTAAAGTCCCACAATAGGCCATCTGCAAGCTAAGGAGTAAGAAACCCAGTCCCAGTCCCAAAGCTGAAGAACTTGGGAGTCCAGTGTTCAAGGGCAGGAAGCGTCCAGCATGGGAGAAAGATGTAGGTGAGACTAAACCAGTCTAGCCTATTTACAATCTTCTGCCTGCTTTTATTCTGGCCACACTGGAAGCTGATTAGATGGTGCCCACCCAGATTAAGGGTGGGTCTGCCTTTCCCAGTCCACTGTCTCAAATGTTAATCTCCTTTGGCAACGCCCTCACAGACACACCCAAGAATAATACTTTGCATCCTTCAATCCAATCAAGTTGATACTCAATATTAACCATCACAGTGAGTGTCTAGGTTCCATTTCTGTGGTCCCACCTTTTAAATGTATATGAGTGTTTCAGATAGACCTGCAATCCTGTTTTGTATGTAACAATGTTAGCGGATGACATTTTTCTCAAGTGGAATCCAATACAAAATACTTAATACTTTAACGTGATAGTTATTCCTTCTAAGTAGTACAACAGTGCCAAAGATAAATCTGAAACAGTTTATTTGTACTCATAAGGTACTTCTCGTATGTGAAATGTATAGGTAATACATAATACGTAATACGTAATAACTGTACATATATGTAGGGTACATGTGATATTTTGATATATGCATATAGTGTGTCATGTTATTAGTGAGATTCATACTTTCAGATGTTTTCTTGTTACACAAGAGTGTGTTTTTCTTTTAGGTTGAAACATGCACTTTAGCATTTTTTCCCTCTGATATTGCTTTTTTGTTGTTCTTGGTTCCAAATGTCTTATTTCTCTTTCGTTCCTGAATAATAGATGTGCTGGATATAGTATTTTAGTGGGTGAAGGATATGAGCAGACACTTCTCAAAAGAAGACATTTATGTGTCCATCAAACATATGAAAAAAAGCTCATCATCACTGGTCATTAGAGAAATGCAAATCAAAACCACAATGAGATACCATCTCATGTCAGTTAGAATGGCAATCATTAAAAAGTCAGGAAACAACAGATGCTGGAGAGGATGTAGCAAAATAGGAATGCTTTTACACTGTTGGTGGGAGTGTAAATTAGTTCAACCATTGTGGAAGACAATGTGGCAATTCCTCAAGGATCTAGAACCAGAAATACCATTTGACCCACCAGTCCCATTACTGGATATATATCCAAAGGATTATAAATCATTCTATTATGAAGACACATGCTCATGTATGTTTATTGCAGCACTGTTCACAATAGCAAAGACTTGGAACCAACCCAAATGCCCATCAATGATAGACTGGATAAAGAAAATGTGGCACATAAACACCATGGAATACTATGCAGCCATGAAAAGGGATGAGCTCATGTCCTTTGCAGGGACATGGATGAAGCTGGAAACCATCATTCTCAGCAAACTAACACAGGAACAGAACACCAAACACCACATGTTCTCACTCATAAAGTGGCAGTTGAACAATGAGAACACATGGACAAAGGGAGGGGAACATCACACACTGGGGCCTGTTGCAGGTGGGGGACTAGGAGAGGGGCAGCATTAGGAGAAATACCTAATGTGGATGATGGGTTGATGGGTGCAGCAAACCACTATGGCACATAAGTTTGTTACCTGCATGTTCTGCACATGTATCCCAGAAGTTAAAGTATATATATATAAAGTAGATTTTTTTAATACTCTTTTTTTAAAAAAATTTCGTACACATATTTTTCTGCTCTTTTTTTCCCCAAGTCTCTGTTTCTTAGTATATCTATCAACAAGTGGATAGAACAAAGAACTCAATTAATTTAATAAATACTGTTTACAGGTCTTGTAAAGGGTTTGGTAGAGATTAAACTAATGTCTTCTCCCTTTATCTCTCATGGGATTTGTAGGTAACAGACCTATTTAGTCATTAAGTAGAAATGCTTTATTCAGAGTTAGAATTATACAGAGTGAAGCAGGAGAGGTTCTAAATACTCCATGGCATTAAGAATTTCTTTTTGCAGAGGAAAAATTTGAAAGGAAAACCATAGTCATTATAAACTGGCATAAAATGTACTTTAAACTATGTAAAAGAAAACTTTAAAATTTCTGTACGCTGATCCATCCATTCACTGACCAACAAATATGGAGTTTAATTGCTCTTAAAGGATTCAAATCTTTCAAAGTATCTGTAACATTTTTACAGCAGTTAAGTTTTCAATGGGCTTGTATTCCAAATACAGATGGTCTTTAATTAAAATCAAGCCAGTCTGGTTACAGCTGCAAACTCTTCAGTTCAATGAAATTTTCTGCTTATATTTTCCTCATTTAACACATACAGCCCACAAACACATGCAGATATTTTATCACATAAAAGAGAACAATGGACACTTTAGTTTTCTCTGTTACAAAGATTATAGATAAATACATTACTACCCAAGATGGCCACAATGTTCCCCTCAGCATGACTGAAATTCAGACATTTTCCTTTGTGACTATAGTCCTTTAACCATCCCTTTTCCTAGACTAAAACATGTAGTTTGGAAAACTCCTAATTGCTAATTCTGTATCAGCTTCTTTCGTTGAAATGTACATAAATCTCCTTAAAAGTCTCTTGCCAGTTTTATGACCTAGAAGCATCTTTCCGAAGGACCTTGGAGCCTTCCTTTTGAAATATAATCATCAAGGAAGATAGCACTCCTGTCTCCCTGTCTCTGTGGGACGGTGAGAGCCGAACTTTGTTAGTTACCTTGCTCTAAATTATAAAAATACATCCTGTCATAAAAATATGAAGGAAGTTTATTTTTCCTAGGGGAAGGTCAATCAGCACACAGGAAGCCAGAGATTCTTTCCGACACAGGTTTTTAGCTCTTTGTTTCAGTGGAGTTGAGAGCTGTCTTTTCCTGCTGTTGAAATAGTCTTGAATAAAATCTTTGCCTGTTAAACTTTTCCCAATGCAATTTTTCTTTGACATTACTCAAAATACATTACTGTAAATATGTATAGTTTTACGTCTGTCTAAGAGGGATTTTGCACTTAAGGTATGAAATATATATTTATAATTGATGCAAAATTAAATTTTGTGACTTTGCCTTAAATCGCCACAGAAACAAAAGACTTTGAGGGCTTCTAAGCCTCTCATACTTTGCTGTTGGTGTTTGTATTATATTTCTGCCTTTTTTCCCGCAAATACTGCCACCACTGCCAACACACCAATTGATGGCAGTTTAACGATAACAGAGACTCATCAAAATTTCAATTCTGTAATTCAGCAGTTGAATGACTAGCCTAAAAACTATATTGTGTCTTCTTGCTAGTTCAATTTAAACATATCTTTACATTTTAATCCTATCAGTAAACCAAATTATACTAGCGCTATGTTATTTATACAAAGAAAACTATAGCAAGTAAAGAGACAATTGCCTAGGAAATTAAGAGTGCAGGGATGAGTGACATTCACAATATCTTTTCAGAGTTATTAGAATGCTTGTTATCAATTCCTCTTAAATTTTACTCTTATTGTTGTTATTAACAACCTTATTCTTTCACACTAAAATGTTAGTACAGGCCTGCTAGAATGTAACTTTTGTATTTTAAGAATTTACAGAGTTTGAGGTTCAGAAAGGGATTTTCAGACTAGTTTAAATACATACTGAAGCAGATTTCTATTTGGTCAGATCGGTTGGAAACAGTAGAAAAACAAATATATCTTCGGTTCAAAGACTAACGTAGCTGTCTTCCTATAAAAATGTAATCAAGTCTCGGCACGGTGGCTCATACCTGTAATCCCAGCACTTTGGGAGGCTGAGCAGGGCGGATCACGAGGTCAAGAGATAGAGACCATCCTAGTGTGTCCGGAATTGGTGGGTCCTTGGTCTCACTGACTTCAAGAATGAAGCCGCGGACCCTTGCGGTGAGTGTTACAGTTCTTAAAAGGCTGTGTGTCCAGAGTTTCTTCCTTCTGATATTCAGATGTGTTCGGAGTTTCTTCCTTCTGGTGGGTTCGTGGTCTCGCTGGCTCAGGAGTGAAGCTGCAGACCTTCGCGGTGAGTGTTACAGCTCATGAAGGCAGTGTGGACCCAAAGAGTGAGCAGTAGCAAGATTTATTGCAAAGAGCAAAAGAACAAAGCTTCCACAGAGCAGAGGGGGACCCCAGCAGGTTGCCACTGCAGCCTGCTTTTATTCTCTTATCTGGCCCCAGCCACATCGTGCTGATTGGTAGAGCCAAGTGGTCTGTTTTGACAGGGTGCTGATTGGTAGGTTTACAATCCCTGAGCTAGACACAAAGGTTCTCCACCTCCCCACCAGATTAGCTAGATACAGAGTGTGGACACAAAGGTTCTCCCAAGTCCCCACCAGAGTAGCTAGATACAGAGTGTCGATTGGTGCATTCACAAACCCTGAGCTAGACACAGGGTGCTGATTGGTGTATTTACAAACCCTGAGCTAGACATAAAGGTTCTCCAGGTCCCCACCAGACTCAGGAGCCCAGGTGGCTTCACCCAGTGGATCCTGCACCGGTGCTGCAGGTGGAGCTGCCTGGCAGTCCCGTGCCGTGTGCCCGCACTCCTCAGCCCTTGGGTGGTCGATGGGACTGGGCGCCAGGGAGCAGGGGGCGGCGCTCGTCTGGGAGGCTCCGCTTGCCGCACAGGAGCCCACGGAGGGGGTGGGAGGCTCAGGCATGGCGGGCTGCAGGTCCCGAGCCCTGCCCCGCGGGAAGGCAGCTAAGGCCGGGCGAGAAATCGAGCGCAACGCCGGTGGGCTGGCACTGCTGGGGAACCCAGTACACCCTCCGCAGCCACTGGCCGGTGTGCTAAGCCCCTCATTGCCCCTGCGGGCAGGGCCGGCCAGCTGCTCCGAATGCCGGGTCTGCCGAGGCCACGCCCACCCGGAACTCGCGCTAGCCCGCAAGCGCCACGGGCAGCCCAGGTTCCCGCCAGCGCCTGCCTCCACACCTCTTTGCAAGCTGAGGGAGCCGGCTCCGGCCTTGGCTAGCCCAGAAAGTGGCTCCCACAGTGCAGTGGTGGGCTGAAGGACTCCTCAAGTTCCGCCAAAGTGGGAGCCCAGGCAGAGGAGGCGCCGAGAGCGAGCGAGGGCTGTGAGGACTGCCAGCACGCTGTCACCTCTCACTAGCCAACATGGTGAAACAGCGTCTTTACTAAAAATACAAAGATTAGCTGGGCATGGTGGCGGGTGCCTGCAGTTCCAGATACTTGGGAGGCTGAGGCAGGAGAATTGCTTGAACCGAGGAGGCGGAGGTTTCAGTGAGCCGAGATCGCGCCATTCCACTCCAGCCTGGGTGAAAGAGCGAGACTCCGTCTCAAAAAAAAAAAAAAAGGTAATCGAAATACACTTTTCTTTATTCTTCAGACAATGGTGTAAGTGCCCCTAATAAATCTCTGTTGCTTTGCAAGATGGAGAATATAAGCCATTTACCCCTTGTTTTCCATCCCTTACTTACTTTCCCTTACTCTTTCCCATCCGTTTCCTTTTGCTTGGTTGAAGAACAGTGGAAATACATTAACTGTATGTGTGGTTTCGGTATTTATTGAGATTGAGGATACATGTCAAATAAATCATCCAAACACATCTGCAGCCATTACTAGACATTTTCTTGCACATGTTTCATTTCCTGTTGTTTTGTAAATGACAAAGTTAAAAGCAAGATATAGTCAGACTTCCCTAGTTTAAACCCTGAATCTTTCCCTCTGGCATAAAAAGGGGCAATCATAGTACTTAACCCTTATTAGGTTGAAAAGAATAAATGATGTAATTGACGCAAACGATTTAGCATGGTGCCATTAAATTTTAGTGTTTTGTTTATCAGTTGTTGTATAACAAAACTGTCATAAAACTCTCCCTGATAAGACTTAGCCGCTTAAAACAACCATTTATATTGTTCCTGATTTTGTGGGGTAGGAATTTGGGAAGGACTCAGCTGGGTGGGATCACAACATTCTACATGTCATCAGCTGGGGCAGCTGGGGCCAGAGGAGCCCTTAATTGCCTTCCTCAGTCATATGTCATAAACCTTGGTGGTCTTTTACCTCTCTTCTCCTTTCCATTTAGTGTTTCACTCTTTGGGCATTTCTCGGCAAATATTTCTCATAGGCTGGCAATATCAGGGCATTCTCACTTCTAATATGGTATTAGCTTCCAAGAGGCAGAAAGTAGAAACTTTCAGGCCCATTTAAGGGCTAACCCTGGACCTAGAATGGCAATCACAGAGTTGAAACAGAATTAGTGAGTTGAGAAAAAGACTCTAGCTTTTGATGTGGGAGTGGCAAGGTCACATTGCACACAAGTATGGTGGAAGGGACTTTGTGTTACTACCATGTTGGGAATAAAATCTTCCATATGGGCCGGGCACAGTGGTTCACACCTGTAATCCCAGTACTTTGGGAGGCTGAAGCGGGCGTATCATAAAGTCAGGAGATCGAGACCATCCTGTCCAACGTGGTAAAACCCTGCCTCTACTAAAAATACAAAAATTAGCTGAGCGTGGTGGTGCGTGCCTCTAATCCCAGCTACTCCAGAGGCTGAGGCAGGAGAATCGCTTGAACCTGGGAGTCGGAGGTTGCAGTGAGCTGAGAAGACGCCACTGCACTTCAGCCTAGGCAACAGAGAGAGACTTCCTCTAAATATATATATATATATATATAAAATATGGAGTATTATTAATACTTCAATGAATTTCCCACATTAATTATCTTAAATGAG
The DNA here is from genome assembly GCF_000001405.40 of Homo sapiens. Taxonomy (NCBI): domain Eukaryota; kingdom Metazoa; phylum Chordata; class Mammalia; order Primates; family Hominidae; genus Homo; species Homo sapiens. Next base: position 165,920,602 of record NC_000003.12, read on the forward strand.
ATTTTTTTTTGCCTACATTCTATCATTTTTGGTTCACTCTGTAATTCACCTTTTAAATAAGGATTGACTAAAAACCTTTTATGTGTGGGGCACTCACTGCTCAAGGGAACTATGACTATAGAAGTAAACATGGTAGATGAGTTCCCTGTTCTTGTGTTATTATTTTTTAAAAATTCCCCCACAGTGTAATAGAAAATGACTGGCATCACAGATTGGGAAAAGGCAGAGCTGATATTTATTGGAGATAATGGCACTCATTTTTAAAAAAGTGATATTTAAGTTAATAACTAATTGGCAAGAAACCCTTTGAAAATCTTGGTGAGGAGCATTCCAGGCAGAAGGAACAGAAAGTACCAATGCCCTAAGGCAGGCATAAGCCACAGAGAGAAAACCATGGCTATGGAAGTCAAGTGAGCAAGAAAGCAACCAACAGTAGATGAGACTGAAGATGTAGTGAGTAGAAATTATGGAGGGCATGTTGGGAGAAAAGCTGAGTGTTGGGAGAGAAGCTGGGGCAGGGCTTGAAACATGTCTGGGGGCCAGGGTCTAACACCCCTCGTGGCCTCTGGGATGTGTCTAGACTTTCTGGCTCGTTGCTTCTAGCACTCCCATTATCTCAAGTAGCCATATGTTTCAAAGAAAATGCTAAACCGTCACAGCTGTAGCTCATTCGCTTGATACACTGCTTCCTTTCAACCCCCACAATCTCACCACCTGGTTCTTTGTTTGATTACCAATAAATAGCATGGGCTCCCAGAGCTGGGGACCCGCTCCCAGAGCTCGGGGCCCTCACAGCCTCCTTACTAGTGTTGGCCCCCTGGTTCCACTTTCTCTCTTGTCTTTTCTCATTCCTTTGACTCGGCTGGACTTCGCAGCCTCCACGACCTGGTGTTGGGTCTGATCACCCCAACAAGGGCAGAGCTTCTTCATCATGGTGAACATTAGAATTACCTGGAGTGTGCTGATGCCTGTAATCCCAGCACTTTGGGAGGCTAAGCCAGGCAGATAACCTGAAGTCAGGAATTCAAAACCAGCCTGGCCACCATGGTGAAACCCCATTTCCACTAAAAATACAAAGATTAACTGGGCATCGTGGTGGGCATCTATAATCTCAGCTACTCAGGAGGCTGAGGAAAGAGAATTGCTTGAACCCAGGAGGCGGAGTTTGCAGTGAGGTGAGATCCTGCCACCGCACTGCAGCCTGGGCGACAGAGTGAGACTCTGTCTCAAAAAAAAAAAAAGAAAAGAAAGAATTACCTGGAGTGCTATTTTTTTAAATGTTAACACCCGAGTCTGATTTCAAATAAATTAAGTACTAATATTTGAACATGTGGCCTGAATATCATTGTTTTTTAAATACTCTAGAGAATTCTATTATATAAACAATGTCAAGAAACATTGAAAAGAATATTTGGGGCCATGATAAAGAATGTAAAACTTTTCAGATTATTTTCAGTTTGGGTTTACAAAATGTGCACTGGCAGTTCAGATTTTAATTAGAGTAGCTGAGATTCAAGTCATTGGAAGTCAGATTGAAGAACCGTAACAGTGTTCTCCTTCTTAGTCTTGCTTTGTTCTAGAATTTTTGTGTGACCTTGAGCAACTTATGAAGCCTTCCTTCACTCCAATTCTTTAAGTTGAAAGTAGTAATAATAATAATAATGTTTTGCTGAGAGGTCACAAATATGCAGTGACAGTAAAAAAAAAAAAAAAAGAAAACATGCTTTAAAATATTTTAAAAAGAATACAAAACTCTTCTACATTTAATGGGAAGCCATAACAACAATGTTAAACTGAGACAGGGTTGGGAGACGGATATAAAACTATTTAGGTTTTAAAAATATTACTGTGGCTGCTGTATAGAACGTATTATAGGGTGTTATAATACAACCAGATAGAAATGAGTAAATAATTTATACTGTTTTAGACTAACTAGATAGCAGAAATGGAAAAAAATGGGTACAAATGGGATATATTTCAAAGAATGCTTTTACCTCAATTTATGTCTCTTCCTGTAATACTATGTTGTTAAATATTACAGCAGCTAAATTATCTGGTTTCCCCAACTTCAGCCATGCTATGGACAATGTTACAAGTCTTTGTCATTCATCAGTTTTTTCCCTTTCTCTGAAATTATAGCCCATTTGCTCCTTCTGAGCCAAGTAAGCTGTGTTAAATATCTAGTGATGACTCCTGAGACCCAAGTTCCATTTAAAGTCATTGAAAGTTTATTCAGAAGGGTAAGAAAATAAAGTAAAAATAAGGGTCAAAATAACACCTGTTTGCATATATTGATTTAATTGAATTCCAGGTAAATGCCTTTGTGTTAAATCACTTATTTAAAAATATTGGTCCCTATGCAATATATATTTCCCATGTAAATATGCTAACTTTAATTTTAGTAAATGAGTATCACAGTGAGCCATGAGAAAGAATATAATTTTAAGTAGCATGAATTATTTTAATAATTCTTATAGAAAAAATTACATATGCATAGATATAGAAAAATAATTAAAATCACTTATGCCTCTACCACTTAGAAAATGATGGTTAACATTGTCTAAAACATCTTATTTTGATAAACACTTAAAATTGTGTTCATGATGAAAATCTATATCATCCTTTTAGAAATTATATTCAATAATTAATGTTTTCTATTTTATTTTACCTATAAGCATTCTATGATAATTAATTGGCTACAAGAGTATTATTTTTAAAATATGAAAATAATCTCTATATTGTCAGTCATACTGTGTCTGGAATTGGTGGGTTCTTGGTCTCACTGACTTCAAGAATGAAGCCGCGGACCCTCGCGGTGAGTGTTACAGCTCTTAAGGTGGCGCGTCTGTAGTTTGTTCCTTCTGATGTTCGGATGTGTTCAGAGTTTCTTCTTTCTGGTGGGTTCATGGTCTCGCTGGCTCAGGAGTGAAGCTGCAGACCTTCGTGGTGAGTGTTACAGCTCTTAAGGCGGCACGTCTGGAGTTGTTCGTTCTTCGCGGTGGGCTCATGGTCTCGCTGGCTTCAGGAGTGAAGCTGCAGACTTTTGCGGTGAGTGTTACAGCTCATAAAAGCAGTGTGGACCCAAAGAGTGAGCAGCAGCAAGATTTATTACAAAGAGTGAAAGAAGAAAGCTTCCACAGTGTGGAAGGGGACCTGAGTGGGTTGCCACTGCTGGCTTAGGCAGCCTGCTTTTATTCTCTTATCTGGCCCCACCCACATCCCGCTGATTGGTAGAGCCAAGTGGTCTGTTTTGACAGGGTGCTGATTGGTGCGTTTACAATCCCTGAGCTAGATATAAAGGTTCTCCACCTCCCCATCAGATTAGTTAGATACAGCGTATAGACACAAAGGTTCTCCAAGGCCCCACCAGAGCAGCTAGATACAGAGTGTCGATTGGTGCATTCACAAACCTTGAGCTAAACACAGCTTGCTGATTGGTGTGTTTACAAACCTTGAGCTAGATACAGAGTGCTGATTGGTGTATTTACAATCCCTGAGCTAGACATAAAGGTTCTCCAAGGCCCCACCAGAGCAGCTAGATACAGAGTGTCCATTGGTGCACTCACAAACCCTGAGCTAGACACAGGGTGCTGATTGGTGTGTTTACAATCCCTGAGCTGGACATAAAGACTCTCCACTTACCCACCAGACTCAGGAGCCCAGCTGGCTTCACCCAGTGGATCCCGCACCTGGGCGGCAGGTGGAGCTGCTTGCCAGTCCTGCGCCATGCCCTCACACTCCTCAGCCCTTGGGCAGTTGATGGGACTGGGTGCGGTGGAGCAGGGGGCGGCGCTCGTCGGGGAGGCTTGGGCTGCACAGGAGCCCATGGAGGGGGTGGGAGGCTCAGGCATGGCAGGCTGCAGGTCCCGGAGCCCTACCCCGCGGGAAGGCAGCTAAGGCCCGGTGAGAAATTGAGCGCAGCGCCAGTGGGCCGGCACTGCTGGGGGACCCAGTACACCCTCCGCAGCCACTGGCCCGGGTGCTAAGCCCCTCACTGCCTGGTGGCCTGTCAAGCCCACGCCCACCCGGAACTCCAGCTGGCCCGCAAGCGCGGCGCGCAGCCCCGGGTTCCCACTCGCGCCTCTCCTTCCACACCTCCTTGCAAGCTGAGGGAGTGGGCTCTGGCCTTGGCCAGCCCGGAAAGGGGCTCCCACAGCGCACCCACGCAGTGCCCACGCAAAGGAGGCACCCAGAGCGAGCGAGGGCTATGAGGACTGCCAGCACGCTGTCACCTCTCAATGCATATTGTAACGACTGACATACCGATCAAGAAAGAGAGTGACAAATATAAAAACCAAGCTATTAAATATATATATTTCTTTATATTTTCCCATTTTAATGCAAAATGCAATTTCATTTTTATTTGTATTTTAAGTTACATATTATATATGTTTAGAATGCACATTTATTTTTTGGATATTTCTAATTCTTTTGGACACTTTACAGAAAATGTTTTCTGATGTCTGATCTAGGACAACGTAAGTCTAACAAGAGATTTAACTTGGCTAAATCAGAATCGTTTTAATTCCTATGGTAGGCAGCATAATGCCCCACATTCCTGCTTGCCTCAAGATATCTACATTCTAGGGCAAAAGGCGAAAGGGACTTGGCAGAGATGTGATTAAGGTAAAGATTTTGAGATGAAGAGTTTATCCTGGGTGGGTCTCATGTAATCACAAGAGTCCTACAAGTTAATGGGGAGACAGAAAAGTTAGAGTCAGAGGCAGAATTGAAGATGCTATACTGCTGATTTTGAAGATGGGGAAAGGGATCACAAGGCAAAGAATGTAGGTGCCTGTAGAAACTGGAAAAGGTGAATAAATGGATTTTCCTTTAGAACCTCCACAAAGGAGCACACCTTTGCTAATACCTTGATTTTAACCTGCAAGATCCATTCAGACTTCTGAAATCCAGATCTAAGAGGTAATACTTTAAAAAAAATTTAAGCTATATTCTTATGGTAATTTGTTACAGCAGCAATCAGAAACTAATGGAACTCCCTAAGCCCCTTTTGGCTGGGCTGCCACTTTGAGGTTGTACCAATCAGGCTGGCCTAGAGATGTTAGGGGGAAGAAAGAAACATGCCCAATAACAGTCAGGGCAGAATTCCAAATTGTCATATATATAATTTTCAGCCCTTTCATCCTGACCATTACATAGACAGCATAAAAGAGGAGATAATCTGCTTGTGGGACTGGGTGCATTCAGTCATTATACTTCCTCACTCAGTGTGTGAACCCCAGGTTGTGCCTGAAATCTCATTGAATTGTTTATTAAGCAGGATGTTCCAATACTCAACAATACCAGATAGCTGTGGATACTAGAATTGTGGATGGTTTATCAACTCTCTGGACAATCTGCCCATTTTTCAATGGCTCTTGCAATAAAAGGTGTAAAATGTTAAGAGTTAAAATAGTAATTAGTTGCTTAATGACAGGAATATTTTCTGAGAAACGCATCCTTAGACAATTTCTTCAACTGCACACCCAAGCTACATAGTATAGCCTATTGCTTCTAGGATACAAATTTGGACACCATATTACTGTACTAAATACTGAGGCAATTGTGACACAATGGTGTTTGGGTATCTAAACCTAGAAAAGGTACAGTTAAAATATGGCATAAAAGAGAAAAAGTGCTACACCTGTGTAGAATACTTGCCATGAAAAAAGTTTGCAGGCCTAGAAGTTGCTCTGGGTGAGTCAGTGAGTGAGTGATGAGTGAATGTGAAGGCCTAGGACATTACTATACACTTTTACACAACTTGCAGAACAGTAGGTTTATTTTCAATAGCATCACCAAAAATGTGAATAATGCATTGTGCTGTGACATTATGCCAGCTACAGCATCACTAGCAAATACAATTTTTTTAGCTCCATTATAATCTTACGGGACCATCATCACATATGTGGTCTGTTGTTTACCAAAATATCATTATAAGAGCATGAGTGTACAGTAATATATTTAATAAATATATAATATACAAATATAAATATACTATAGAATACTATAATTATTTTGTACTAAATTATATTTATATTACATAATAGTATATTATTATAAACATATTTTTGTACATAGCCAGCATATAGCTGGCTAAACATAAGTCTCTGTTAACAACTGCCAGAATGAACAAAAGTTTACCAAGTATATATTAGATCTAAACAAAAACAACATAATTGTTTAATATTGTAAATATAATGTAAGGATGAAGCTAGAAGATAAGTAGTAAATACTGTATGCATTCATACAGCTTATAATAGATGGAAATATGAAAAGTTATCTATGCTGTTAGAAGTCAAAGTAGTATGACTTAGGATAAGTAGATATTAACAGAGAGCACCAGGGAGCTTATAGGAGAATGATAAAGTTCAGTTTATTAATCTGGATTTAGACTCATGAATGTGCTTAGTTTGTGAAAATTTATCTACCTTTATGAAACATACAGTAATCTGTACATATGTTGCATTTCAGTAAAAATCCAAGCAAAACAAAATTTTAAAATTAAGTAGTCACATACATACAAAACGCACATATGTACATTTGTCTTTCTTAGTTCCGGCCAATGAAAATTTCTGGAAATTATGAATAATCAGTATGAGTTTCCTTGGTATCCAGAATGTACTCTTTGAATGACACTTCTCATTGAATGTAATCAGATCTTGATAGAGAAGTGGCTGATTACAATGTGGAAAGCGTAAGAGTAATTGATGACTACTAGCATCACAATCAGAGTGCTAAAAGTTCATTTATAGAGTTTCTCATTGGCTAGATGTGGGGCAACTTGAGCAATCCAAAGGAATTCTAAGAGCAATAAATTACAGTACATAAGATATATAAAAAACATGAGTTTGAAATAAATTTAAAAAGAAAATCTATTTCCCCCACCCCTGCTTTGGAGAAAACAAAGGAAATCAACTAATCATCTTGGCAACTGGTAAATATAGGGAAATAAACATGCATTATATTTTTCATTCATGAATTCTGCATTGGGGTAACTAAATAATTGGTGAAGAAAAATTTGTGTTTATAGAAGCATTCCAGTAATAAATAAAGACAGATTCATAAAATTAAGAGTGTAAAGTTATCTTGAGATTAAAAAATATAACATTGAGAGCTACTGAAACAGACAATGTAGAACAAGAATGTGAATTCTTGTGAGGGAGGACTTAAACAGGAATAAAGGGCATGAGAGGGTTAGCCCTGCAGTACTCAAAACAATTATTGCCAGAGAGGTTAAGAATGGTAGATGTCCCGGGCACTTTTGAATTTTGAAATGATAAAGCCTGAGAGATGTGTGACTTATTTATACAACACGGGTTCTCTCTTGGCTCACTGTGAAAAGCTAAATCTTATTTTGAGTGTGGATACTCTGACTTCACTTTTATAATAGACTTGAGAACTCAGTGAAAGCCAGAGGTTACTCTAAATATGATCCTCCTTACAATTTAGTGACGTTTTATCCCGTTGCACTGGATCATTCTTCATATCTGTTGAGAGTTGTGAGCTGTCGAGTGTGTGTTCTCCACTGTGATCGTAGTTGATAGACTTGAAAACTTCTGTTGTATTATTAAATCCTCCAGAAAAATTCAGAAGTAATTTCTGATGGGATACATTTTCAAACTAAAGTCAATACAAAGTGCCATTAATGTTGACATAGTTCATATTTTAAAGAAACTCAGGTGATATGTAACATAAATTCTCCATATACTCTCTGTATATTTGTTGACAACTTATAAAAATTGGTTTATTTGCTAATTAGAATCAGATGCATAGAATATTAACTTACCTATTGTGAAACCATTTGAATAATATTTTAATAATATTTAAACAATTTATAAAATAGATACTATTATAGTCTTTATCTACTTTTTATTGTCATTTCCATTAATTACAATTCTTGTAACTCAGACCAATTACAAAACTTTATGCTTATTTATAATATACTTTATTGCAAATATTAGTATTTAAAATAGGAAAAACATTCTTATTAGGAAACATAACAATAAGTAAGTTTTAGTTTTTTTTGTGTTTCAACTACTGTGCATCCTGAATGGGGAAAAATGTAATTAGGGTTTTGTTTCAGTATATTTTATTACTTAACATGGGTTTGCCCCATATAATTGATCATAATCTGATTATGTCAAATAAAAATAATTGCTTTAAATAAGAGACCCAAGTATGTTGTAACAGCATGGTCATTGAGATTTAGTTTTGAAATAAATTTTCAAATCCTATTTTCTGCATTTAACAAGTAAAATAAATTTCTTATATTTGTTTTATAAGGATGATTTTGGCCATTATAGCATTTTGGAAAAAAAAGTTATTCTAACTTCGATATTTTTTCGAAATAGATTATTTTCAATTATATGAAAGGCCATAAAGAGATAACTGAGTGATGACCATAACCATAGGAATTAAATAAACTTGATAACTTACATTTGTTTTATTGCTAACATATTTTATGACTCAACAACATTGCAGTTTTTTCCCTAATTTTTGCAACAAAAAGGAAGTAAAACAACAGTTTATTGTGGTAATACCTCATATTGGCCTACTTCTATAAATGGCCTTTAAGCTCTAGGGTAAAAAGGAGAACATTCATGCTTTTAAATTGGATAGAAAAGCAGTTTCCATCCTGTAGCTGTTGTAGCACATATTGTCAAATAGAGACTATTAGATATATCTAAATGTATTGCTTCTCAGCAAATTATATACACTTTTTTTGACATGTTTTACCTATGTTGACCTTATTTAGAGTTTTGTTGCATATTTTAGAGATGCAAGTTATTAAATGTTTTCAGTTTCCAATAATGTGATGCAAGCTCAATGCTGTTTCTTCAACCTGTCAAGTCTCTTAGAATAAAACACAGGGTCACTCTGCATCTGAAAAAAAGAAAATGAAAATAAGGAAGAAAAAAGAATTAAGAATTAAGCAATCATGAACAGTTATATTGAGGATAAGTGAAAATATAGGAGACATTTAAAGCATTAAAATCGTGCTATTAACTCTCATAATTTAATACCTGAAAGATGCCATTACGTGGTGTGTACAAAGGCAGCTTAAAGGTGGTTTTGTTCTTCCATTGTTTCCACGTTATAGACAGAAATTCCTGTTGCCTTTGTTACAATTCATTTTTTGTTTTTTGATTTTGCCGTTATATTTTTTAGAGACAAGGTCTTGCTATGTTGCCCAGACTGGTCTCGAACTCCTGGCCTCCAACAATCCTGCTCGACCTCCCACAGTGGTAGGATTAGAGGCGTGAGCCACCCATGCCCAGCAACAATCAATTTTTTGAATAAATATTGAGTGAAACAGAGCAAACACCTATAGTGTTCCTCTCTATGTTACAAGGTATCATTTATACATTTTCTCATTTTTATATATTTATGAATTTTTTAAAAAAATTATAGATGTTCACTGTATTATTCCTACTTTAGGGGCTGAGACAAAGGGAAATTTGTTTTTTTATAAAAAATCCTTGTCTCTCTATTTTTATGCTATAATTACAATAATTAAAAACAATGATCATTTTATTAGATTGGTTAATTCATATTAAAAAGAATAATCAAGGGTTCTTCACATTATTTTCTATATAATAATTAGTATTGTATTTTTCCTAAGTTCTGATCCATGTTTCTGTATAGTTACACTTAAACAATGTCAGTTGCATTCCACTTTATATAAATTAATTGCTCAACTTCTACTCATAATTGCAAAACTAGCCCTACTAATTTTATCATTGCTTATATTGCTTTAGCTAGTTCAAATAATTAACATCACTTCTGATTTTATTGTATTTTCTAAGCTATGAGACATTCCATTGCTGGCAAACTTAGTAATAGTGCCAGTGGCTTCATCATCTAATTTGAAGACAACTAACCTTTCAACTCTGAGACGAATGTTTGCTCTACCAGTAATCACTGTAATCTCTACGGAAATACTTTCTTATTGAACTTTTTCCTGAATGATGTACTCTTGGTTCCCATAGGTTTTTCTTTTATTTTCTTTTTCTTCTGGGAACTTGAACCACACATCTCTTGAAAGTCAGTGGGGGTATACGCTCACGGGATGTCAGCCACCAGCAGTAGGTGAACTTCCATAAGAGTTCATTTATTGTAGTATTAGCACACATATTTCCACATTTTTTTATGTTGGCTAGCTTCACATTCCAATGTAGATAACTTTGTTCTGATCACAACTCAACATGAAGGATGCAGAAAAAGAGCATGCATCTCTCTCCATCATGAAACAATTATAACTTAGTTCTAAATATAATTCCTTAAATGTATGAAGATTTTTTTTTAAAGGAAATCTGAAATATTGCGTTATACATACACTCATTTCTTCTTAAAATATGGTTGTCAAAGAGAGCCTTGAGAAAATGTAGCTTATCCAAGCTCAACTAGGTATTTTTTTGTTGGTGGTGTTTTTTTTTTTTTTTCAATTAAATATTCTAAATCCTTGATGGCTGTTTTAAACACATTGCACTGATGGTCGCCTCCAGGATGGCTGAATAGGAACAGCTGCAGTCTGCAGCTCCCAGCGAGATCGACACAGAAGACAGGTGATTTCTGCATTTCCAACTGAGGTACCTGGTTCATCTCATTGGGACTGGTTGGACAGTGGGTGCAGCCCACAGAGGGTGAGCCGAAGGAGGGTGGGGCATCATCTCACCTGGGAAGCACAAGGGGTCAGGGGATTTCCCTTTCCTAGCCAAGGGAAGCCATGACAGACTCTACCTGGAAAATCGGGACACTGCTACCCAAATACTGTGCTTTTTGATGGACTTAGCAACCAGCAGACCAGAAGATTCCCTCCCATGCCTGGCTCAGTGGGTCCCACACCCACGGAGCATTGCTCACTGCTAGCTCAGCAGTCTGTGATCCACCTGTGATTCTGCAGCCTGGCGGGGGAAGGGGCGTCCGCCATTGCTGAGGCTTGAGTAGGTAAACAAAATGTCTGGGAAGCTCAAACTGGGTGGAGCCCACTGCAGCTCAGCAAGTCCTACTGCCCCTGTAGATTCCACCTCTGTGAGCAGGGCATAGCTGAACAAAAGGCAGCAGACAACTTCTGCAGACTTAAACGTCCTGTCTGACACCTCTGAAGACAGCAGTGGTTCTCCCAGCATGGCATTCAAGCTCTGAGAACAGATGGATGGCCTCCTCAGGTGGGTCCCTGACCCCTGTGTAGCCTGACTGGGAGACACCTCCCAGTAGGGGTTGGCAGACACATCATATAGGTGGGTGCCCCTCTGGGACAAAGCTTCCAAAGGAAGGATCAGGCAGCAATATTTGCCATTCTGCATTATTTGCTGTTCTGCAGCCTCTGCAGGTGATACCCAGGCAAATAGGGTCTGGAGTGGACCTCCAGCAAACTACAACAGATCTGCAGCTGAGCGACCTGACTGTTAAAAGGAAAACTAACAAACAGAAAGGAATAGCATCAACAGCAACAAAAAGGACATCCACACCAAAACCCTATCTGTAGGTCACCATCATCAAAAACCAAAGGTAGATAAAACCACAAAGATGGGGAGAAACCAAAGCAGAAAAGCTGAAAATTCAAAAACCAGAGTGCCTCTTCTCCTCCAAAGGATCACAGCTCCTCGCCAGCAGTGGAACAAAACTGGACAGAGAATGACTTTGATGAGTTGACAGAAGTAGACTTCAGAAGGTCAGTAATAACAAACTTCTCGGAGCTAAAGGAGCATGTTCTAACCCATCGCAAGGAAGTTAAAACCCTTGAAAAAAGATTAGATGAATGGCTAACTAGAATAAACAGTGTAGAGAAGACCATAAGTGACCTGATGGAGCTGAAAACCACAGCATGAGAACTTTGTGATGCATGCACAAGCTTCCAAGCTTCAATAGCCGATTCGATCAAATGGAAAAAAGGATATCAGTGATTGAAGATCAAATTAATGAAACAAAGCGAGAAGGCAAGATTAGAGAAAACAGTAAAAAGAAATGAAGAAATCCTCCAAGAAATTAGGACTATGTGAAAAGACCAAATCTACGTTTGATTGGTGTACCTGAAAGTGATGGGGAGAATGGAATCAAGTTAGAAAACATTCTTCAGGGTATTATCTAGGAGAACTTCCCCAACCTAGCATGGCAGGTCAACATTCAAATTCAGGAAATACAGAGAACACCACAAAGATACTCCTCGAGAAGAGCAACCCCAAAACACATAACTGTCAGACTGACCAAGGTTGAAATGAAGGAAAAAATGTTAAGGGCAGCTAGAGAGAAAAATCGGGCGTTACCCATAAAGGGAAGCCTATCAGACTAATAGCAGATCTCTCCGCAGAAATCCTACAAGCCAGAAGAGAGTGGAGGCCAATATTCAACATTCTTAAAGAAAATAATTTTCAAACCAGAATTTCATATCCAGCCAAACTAAGCTTCACAAGGGAAGGGGAAATAAAATCCTTTACAAACAAGCACTTGCTGAGAGATTTTGTCATCACCAGGCCTGCCTTACAAGAGCTCCTGAAGGAAACACTAAACATGGAAAGGAACAACTGGTACCAGCTACTGCAAAAACATGCCAAATTGCAAAGACCATCGATGCCTTGAAGAAACTACATCAATTAATAGGCAAAATAACCAGTTAACATCGTAATGACAGGATCAAATTCACACATGATAATATTAAACTTAAATGTAAATGGGCTAAATGCCCCAATTGAAAGACATAGACTGGAAAATTGGATAAAGAGTCAAGACCCATCAATGTGCTGTATTCAGGAGACCCATCTCATGTGCAGAGACACACTAAGCTCAAAATAAAGGGATAGAGAAAGATCTACTAAGCAAATGGAAAGCAAAAAAAAGCAAGGGTTGCAATCCTAGTCTCTGGTAAAACAGACTTTAAGCGAACAAACATCAAAAGAGAAAAGGCCATTGCATAATGGTAAAGGGATCAATTCAACAAGAAGGGCTAACTATCCTAAATATATATGCATCCAATACAGGGGCACCCAGATTCATAAAGCAAGTCTTTAAAACCTACAAAGAGACTTAGACTCCCACACAATAATAATGGGAGACTTTAACACCCCACTGTCAATATTAGACAGATAATGAAGAAAAGAGAGAAGAATCAAATAGACGCAACAAAAAATGATAAAAGGGATATCACCACTGATCCCACAGAAATACAAACTACCATCAAAGAATAGTATAAACACCTCTATGCAAATAAAGTAGAAAATATAGAAGAAATGGATAAATTCCTGGACACATACACCCTCCCAAGACTAAACCAGGAAGAAGTTCAATCTCTGAATAGACCAATAACAGGTTCTGAAATTGAGGCAATAATTAATAGCTTACTGACCATAAAAAGTCCAGAACCAGATGGATTCACAGCCAAATTCTACCAGAGGTACAAAGAGAAGCTGGTACCATTCCTTCTGAAACTATTCCAATCAATAGAAAAAGAGGGAATCCTCCCTAATTCAGTTTATGGGGCCAGCATCATCCTGATACCAAAGCTGGGCAGAGACACAACAAAAAAAGAGAATTTTAGACCAGTATCCCTGATGAACAATGATGCAAAAATCCTCAGTAAAATACTGGCAAACTGAATTCAGCAGCACACCAAAAAGCTTATCCACTATGATCAAGTTGGCTTCATCCCTGGGATGCAAAGTTGGTTCAACATATGCAAATCAATAAACATAATCCATCACATAAACAGAAACAATTATAGAAACACATGATTATCTCAACAGATGCAGAAAAGGCCTTCGACAAAATTCAACAGTGCTTCATGCTAAAAACTCTCAATAAACTAGGTATTGATGGTATGTATCTCAAAATAATAAGAGGTATTTATGACAAACCCACAGCCAATATCACACTGAATGGGCAAAAACTGGAAGCATTCCATCTGAAAACCAGAACAAGCCAAGGATGCCCTCTCTCACCACTGCTATTCAACAGCGTATTGGAAGTTCTGGCCAGGGCAATCAGGCAGGAGAAGGAAATAAAGGGTATTCAATTAGGAAAGGAGGAAGTCAAATTGTCCCTGTTTGCAGATGATATGATTGTACATTTAGAAAATCCCATCATCTCAGCCCCAAATCTCCTTAAGTTTATAAGCAACTAAAGCAAAGTCTTAGGACACAAAATCAATGTGCAAAAATCACAAGCTTTCCTATACACCAAAAACAGATAAATAGAGAGCCAAATCATAAGTGGACTCGCATTCACAATTGCTACAAAGAGAATAAAATACCTAGGAATCCAACTTACAAGGGATGTGAAGGACCTCTTCAAGGAGAACTACAAACCACTCCTCAACAAAATAAAAGAGGACACAAACAAATGGAAGAACATTCCATACTCATAGATAGGAAGAATCAATATTGTAAAAATGGCCATACTGCCCACATTAATTTGTAGACTCAATGCCATCCCCATCAAGCTACCAATGACTTTCTTCACATAATTGGACAAAAGTACTGTAAAGTTCATATGGAACCAAAAAAGAGCCCACATAGCTAAGACAATCTTAAGCAAAAAGAAGAAAGCTGGAGGCATCATGCTACCTGACTTCAAACTATACTACAAAGCTACAGGAAGCAAAACAGCATGGTACTGTTACCAAAACAGATATGTAGACCAATGGATCAGAACAGAGGCCTCAGAAATAACCCCACACGTGTACAACCATCTGATCTTTGACAAACCTGACAAAAACAAGAAATGGGGAAAGGATTGCCTATTTTACAAATGGTGCTGGGAAAACTGGCTAGCCATATGTAGAAAGCTGAAACTGGATCCCTTCTTTACACCTTATATAAAAAATTAACTTAAGATGGATTAAAGACTTAAATGTAAGACCTAAAACCATAAAAACCCTAGAAGAAAATCTAGGCAATACCATTCAGGACATAGGCATGGGCAAAGACTTCATGAGTAAAACACCAAAAGCAAGGGCAACAAAAGCCAAAATAGACAAATGGGATCTAATTAAACTAAAGAGCTTCTGCACAGCAAAGGAAACTATCATCAGAGTGAACAGGCAACCTACAGAATGAAAGAAAATGTTTGCAATCTACCCATCGGACAAAGAGCTAATATCCAGGATCTACAAAGAACTTAAACAAATTTACAAGAAAAAACAAACAACCTCATAAAAAAAGTTGGTAAGTGATATGAACAGACACTTCTCAAAAGAAGACATTTATGCAGCCAACAGACACATGAATAAATGCTCATCATCACTGGTCATCAGAGAAATGCAAATCAAAACCACAGTGAGCTACCATCTCGTGCCAGTTGGAATGGCAATCATTAAAAAGTCAGGAAGCAACAGATGCTGGAGAGGATGTGGAGAAATAGGAATGCTTTTACACTGTTGATGGGAGTGTAAATTAGTTCAACCATTGTGGAAGACAGTGTGATGATTCCTCAAGGATCTAGAACCAGAAATACCATTTGACCCAGTGATCCCATTACTGGGTATATACCCAAAGGATTATAAATCATGCTACTATAAAAACACATGCGCACATATGTTTATTGCAGCAGTATTCACAATAGCAAAGACTTGGAACCAACCCAAATGTCCATCAATGATAGACTGGATAAAGAAAATGTGGCACATATACACCATGGAATACTATGCAGCCATGAAAAAGGATGAGTTCATGTCCTTTGTAGGGACATGGTTGAAGCTGGAAACCATCATTCTTTGCAAACTATCAGGAGGACAGAAAACCAAACACTGCATGTTCTCATTCATAGGTGGGAGTTGAACAATGAGAACACTTGGACACAGGGCTGGGAACATCACACACCTGGGCCTGTCAGAGGGTGGGGACCTAGGGGAGGGATAGCATTAGGATAAATATCTAATGTAAATGACGAGTTGATGGGTGCAGCAAGCCAACATGGCACATGTATACCTATGTAACAAACCTGCACATTGTGCACATGTACCCTAGAACTTAAAGTATAATAAAAAATTAAATAATTAAAAATTAAAAAACATCACTTTGCACCATGTCTGATGGTTCTATAAGGTTGGTGCAAAAGTAAATATCTTTTTTGCCATGACATTTCAGGCCAAAACAAGCAACTACTTTTGCACCAACCTAGTAGATTGTCTCTACATAATGGTTTTCATATTAATGGTCTAAATTTCATTTTTCATTATTACAACATAAAATCAAAATTATAATTTTAAGGCTTTTACATTTGTGGAAATATATATTTTTCTATAAGTTATTTTATTTGTGTTTATATTAAAACATCTAATAGGTAGAGATAACTCTTTTTATTTTCCTTGGGTAAGAATTTTGCCTTATGAGAATCTGTGAATCAGTTGTTCTAATTTCCCCTTCCTCATATTTTGACAGAGTTAGCCGAATACCTACCATTTACATGAAGCTTGCTGTGAATAATCAACATCCTTTGAATGAGACCCATTAGTCTCTCTTCTCTATTCGTTTTAGAATAGTTTTTTTCCAATAATCAACATTTTTATTGTTATTTCATTGACACTCAACAGATACAGAGACAAAATAAACAGAAGATCTGTAAACACTTTTTCCAACCCTTGGAAAGTAGATGCAGTATTTTTCATGTATAGGTTGTAAATTCAAATTGGAGGTTGCACTGGAAGGTAAGAAGAAGTTGAAGCATTTTCAAAAATAAAGTTTGTTATTGAGCCTTGTGTCTAAAAGTATTTAAGTGCAGAATATCATCATTAGTGGTAGTACTATTATTTTAATATGTGCTAGCAACAACAACAATACATTTCCATAAGCTTAAATCTGCCCTTAGTTATTGTATTAGCTGGGGCTGTCATAGCAAAATACCATAGACTGGGTGGCTTAAATAACACAAATCTGTATGTATACAGTTTTAGAGCCTGGAAGTACAAGATTAAGGTGCTAACAGGGTTGGTTTCTAGTAAGGCCTTTCTATTTGATTTGTAAGCTGCCTTCTTGCTACCTCCTCATATGACCTTTTCTCTCTATGCATGGAAAGAGAGATCTGGTATCTTCTCCTCCTTAGAACGATACCATTTCTATAGGATTAGGGTCCCCTGTATGACCTAATTTAAAATTAATTATTAATATCTCCTTAAAGACCCTATCTCTAAACACAGTAACATTGGGGGTAGGCCAACCCTTAATTAGTGAATACCTTGTTGCAAAATTTATTTTAAATCAATGTTGTACTGTTAAACAAGACCAAAATAGAAAACAAAGTTTAATTTATCAAATGTATAGTGTTAAGTCACCTAATTTAGTAGAGTCAATGAGAGTCTGTAATTTATGACATTGTATTAGGGAAATGAGACTTCAGTTTGTTCTACGGACAACAGTCAGTTGAGAGGAGCCCCATAAACAATCCGAACCTTGGTCAAAAGTGACCGTGCAGCATACATCCATCCTAAGTAGGCATCCTTAGAACTACCTCTGGTTCTGTGGCTTTGAGAAGGATATTAGTATGGGACCCTAGGCAGCTGATCAGAGGCCCCATGATATTTGGCCCTGTGATAAGATATACTCTTCCTATGTGGAGGAGTTGAGGTAGTTAGTACAATTTTTTTTTCTTGTTTGTAGAACTTACAAGTCACATTTTCCCTATTTGAACTGCCTCGTATTAAAGGATGCTTAATTTGACATCACGGTATGGGTGTGCTAGGAGGAATAGAACTAAGAACTCTGTAACCCACTTTACAATAGCCCATATGTCTGCTACTACAATAAATCAAGGACATGAACAGAGATACATAGGAGTGGATTTTGTAGATAGAACCATGAGGCTTGGTTCTACTGCTCACTACTTATGTTATCTCAGTTTTATATCTGCAAAAACAGAATATCATTATATCCACCTGATTAAATTGAGGATTAGAAATAATGTCCAAAGTACAGTAGCTTGACAAAGACAATAATGGTTGTTATTATCCTTTATGTGGTATTATTGTGAATCAGAGTATCATTTTAGAATTGTACTCTAGACTAGAATTTTCTTGAGGGTAAGCGACGTGCTTAAGTATTTTTCATTCTACATTAGTCTTGTTACAATCTTATTCAATGTGATAAATATAGTAATCAGGCAAAAACAAACTAAAAAATTCCTAACACATTGGTTTTCTTTCTGCATGCTTTATCAATTGTATTTTAGGTGACAGTACTGCTTTTTTTTTTTTTTTTTTTTTTTTAAGACGGAGTCTCACTCTGTTGCCCAGGCTGGAGTGCAGTGGCACTATCTCAGCTCACTGCAACCTCCGTCTCCTGGGTTCAAGCTATTCTTGTGCCTCAGCCTCCTGAGAATCTAGGATTACAGGTGCCTGCCACCATGCCCGACAAATTTTTGTATGCTTGCATTTTGTATAGGTGATTCTAGGCCCTGGAAAAAGGAATAGGACCCTACGGTAGTTGAAGAAAGTATTCTGAGAGAGAAAATAAAAGATAGCCCTATTGTAAAATTTTGTTTAAAAGGAATTAACAAGTAATCACATGACATAAAATATAATGAGTCACTATTGACTGTTGAATCTAATATGTGAATAAAAATGTTCTTTATCTCAGGATCAAGCATCAGGTTTCAACTGTCTATTAGAGTTAGTGTGGCAAGTGGATGAGAACCAGGATTAAAATGTTTATATGTTATTTTGTTCCTAATACTAAAGAATACATATCCTAATCTGTAAATTAATCCTTCTTAAGCATTTGTGGTTTACTTGATTCTTTCCCCCTATATCATTCTTTATCTTTTAATGGAAGATGATGAAATAGCAGTAATTGGCTAATGAGTTTAAGTGCTGTGTTAGCAGTGAAAAGTTTTGGTTGCCTTAAGGGCTCCTCCTGAGCAGATTATTACATACCCATAGTGATATTCAGACTGGTTAGCAATTTCAAATGCTTTGCTGAATCTGAAAATTGGTATATAATCCATTACATGCCTTTGTGTATTTTTTATTCCACTTCAGTAAGCCCAAAGCAATTTTTATGAATAGCCAGCTTTAGTGAAATTGTAAAAATGAGTTGAATTTTCTTGGTACTTACCAACCATGACTTTCTTGTCTTTTTACCTAGTTATACAATTCCCCAATTACCCAATATTTTATCTCCTGAAGCCTCTCTCCTGAGTTCAGTGTTTGAAGGCTGACCAGGTCCTAATCTTCAGAACATCACTCTTTTCTCTGCATATTAACACAGTGATGAAGAGCATGAGCTTTGGATTGAGACAAAACTGGATTTACATAACATTTACACTTACCAGTTATGTGTCCTTGGGCAAGCCTCCATTTTCTTCTTGGTGAAATAAGTATATTACTAGTTCAGTCACAAGGGTTTAATGTACTAATATCTGTAAAGGGCTCAAGATAGCTGAGAAAGAGTAAATATTTTTTTTTTAAAAAGTTGGTCCCGTAGAAGCACTTATGGATGGTGGCTCAGCAAACAAGGAGCTCAGCAAAACTTCCTTCCATAGAAACAACCGTGAGTGATGAATATCATAAAATAAAGCATTCATTTAAAATCTCTATAAGTTGTCCTAAGGGCATAAATAATACGGAAACATTTATTCAAGAAAATGTACTAAATCATGGTAAGAACAATGAGGATGTGTGGCAACCTCTTTTCCCATCGCCCATCTCTTGAGCTCAGTATGACAGAAGGTCTCCCATAGGCTGTTGCAGCACAAAACACTGAATTATCTTCCTCCAGTTCCCGGTTTAGGGCTATAACATCTCCCCAGAAGATGCAGGCTACCAGTATTCCTTATCTTCACCAGTTCCACATTGCAGAAATTTCACACCAGGCAAGAAAGGCTGAGTGATATGTAGCTCTCATCATCCATCCAGTTCCTGCTCACAGGGAAGAAGTTCTACTCAAATAAGACCGGCTAAGAATACGGGATCCCCAAAAACCCTTACCCAGCTCACTCATATGGCAGAGACTTGAAGCTGAAGAAGAAAAACTGAGAAGACTACAGGCTACTGCTCCTACCTTGAGGCCTGCTTTTGAGTCAGGGCATTACTTTGAGAGATGGAAGCCACTGTCCATGGACACCACGGCATCTCAGTGGCTCAGAGATTCTACTCATGAGAGAGGCAGGCTGTGAGAAAAGAGTTTCATCCCTAAGGGACCTGAGTTTATTTGAAACAGAGTGCCGGGAAGTTTAAGCTTAAGAGTGTTTATGAATAAAAACAGAAACAAAAACAGAAAAAAACAGTGGAGATTGTAGTGGTAAACAATTAAGAAGAGACTGGCAGCTACATGATAGTAACACACAAAACCATAATCAGGTAAAAGTTTAACAGCACAAACTAGAGAAAAGACAGTTAAGAAAAGCCCCACTGGGTGATAGAGCAAGTCTCAAGGTCCAGCCTCAATGACTGTCGTTGCCAACAAGTCCCAAATTGCTTGGATCATATGTAGAGTATGTTATGCCCCAGGGACTTGTCAAAACAATACTACAATCAAGTAGTAATTAATGGATACTGGATGTGATATCAATGAGGAAGTTTTGCCAGAGGTTATTGAGAAAAGTAGAGTAAAAAACACTGGAAAAAATGTAGTTAAAACCATTTTCTTTTCTAAGGGCAGGGATTTATGGTGACTGTGTGTATGTCCATGTTGGTGCCGTCTGAAAACTGACACTAGAGTCTGCAGACTGCCGGAGAACTAGACTTTAGTGAAATAATGTAGCCAAACAAACACATACATAAGCATAATAAATTTTAAAAAATGTTTATTGAGGCAAATAACAATAACAAGTAGCTCTGGAGTGGGAGTAGGACCACTTACATAGAATTGTAAAAATTTGAATCTAAAATTATCATGTTTCAGCACAAAAATAAACCATATATATGATATATGATATATATCACATATGATTCATAATATATGATATATATCACATATGATTCATAATATATGATATCTATTATATATGGTATATATGATTATGATATATGATATATATCTATATATATTATATATGATATATATATATGTGTGTGTGTGTGTATTTATATTATATGATCCAGGCAGAGGAAAAAAAGCAGGTAACAAAATAGCCAAAACAACATTGAAAAAGAACAGTTTTGGAGGACTCATTCTTCCAAATTTAACAGTGCAAACATACGGTAACCAATACAGTGTGGTGCTGGTGTAAACACAGACATACAATTCATTGGAACAGAATTAAGAGTACAAAAATAAATCTTTATACTTATGGTCAACTCCTTTTCAACAAGAGTGTCAAGAAAATTTAGTGCAGAAAAACAGTTTTTACAACAAAGGATGCTGGAATAACTGGTACTGGAATATCCACATGCAAAATAATAAATTTGGACCACTTCGTTATATACCATCTGCACAAATTAACTAAAAATGCATCAAAAATTTGTGTAAGAGTTAAAACCATACAGTTTTTAGGAAAAAAAAATCTAGGAGTAAATCTATATGAAGCTGTGTTAGGCAAATCCTACTTACATATGACACCTCACATACAAACAAGAGAAGAGAATAGATAAATTAGACTTCATTAAATTTAAAATTTTTTGTGCAGCCAACAATGTCAGGAAAATAAAAAGACAACTCATAAAATGGGGGCAAGTATTTACAAGTCATATACCTGAAAATAAACTTGTATTTGGAAAACATTTTTAAAACTCATATAACTGAATAATAAAAAGATGAATATACCAATTTAAAGTTGGGCAAATATTCTAAATGGATATTTTTCCTAAGACATACAAGTGTCTAAACTGCATCTGAAACTATGTTCAACATCATTAGCCACTAGGGAAATGCAAATCAAAACCCCATTCACACATATTAGGGTATCTATAATGAAAAACACCAAAAAGTATTGTGAATTGTGGAGAAATACGAACCCTTAATACGTCTCCTTTAGAAAATGGTTTGGCAATTCCTGAAAATGTTTAGTGTAGAGTTAGAACATAATCTAGTAATTTCACCCAAGAGAAATTAAAATATATGTCTGCATGAAAATTTGTACATAAATGTTCATAGCAGCATTATTCATAATAGCAAAAAATTGAAACAACCCAAACATCCATAAGCTGATTAATGGTTAAGCAATATGTGGTATATCCATGAAATGGAATGTTGTTCAGGCCTAACAAGAATGAAGTCCTGATACATGCTCTAACATGGATGGATGTTACAAATATTATGTTCATAAAGAGCTAGTCACAAAGGAAGATGTATGATAATATTTCATTTATATAAACTGTCCAGAATAAGAAAATGTACAGAGACAGAAGGTGGAGGCCAACCGTTGTTGGAAGGTGATAGAAAGTGACTTTTATTCCATTTTGCTGATGATGAAAATGTTCTAAGCTTAGATTGTAATGATGGTTGCATAACACTGTAAATATGCTAGGAAAAAAATTAAATGCATATATTTTATGGTATATAAATGATATCTTCAAAAAGTCCTAAAGGACTGGTGAGACTGGTGATGCTCTTCAGTAACAATAAACTTGACTTTCATCTATTTTTTCAAAGTTTTTGACAATAAATTAGTTCAATGAAGGTTTTTTTGTTTTGTTTTGTTTTTTTAAGAGGCAAGGTCTTGGTCTGTCACCCAGGCTGGAGTGCAGTGCTGCTCACTGTAACCTCAAACTCCTGGGTTCAACCTCTCACCCCAGCCTTCTGAGTAGCTAGGACTACAGGCTCGCACCACCACACCTCGCTAATTTTTAAATTTTCTGTAGATATGGGTCTCACTATGTTGACCACACTAGTCTCCAAGTCCTGGCCTCATTGATTCTCCTGTGTAAGCCTCCCAAAGCACTGGGATTACAGGCATGAGCCACTGTGCCCTGCTTCAATCAAGTCTTAATATGATAAAGTAGCTCTTCTTTTCATAATAACTCATATACAAAATACAAAAGACATCTTTTTTTTAGTGTACTCTGCATGCAAATGAGAAAAAAATCTCTGTGAGATAAAAATGTAATAAAGTACACAATAATTTTGTTACCAAAGGATGCTTACTGATGTGTTAAAAAAATTCAACACCAAAGTTGATGTGAAAATAGATTGGGTAGTCTATAGGCCTACACATACAGAAGCATAAAAAAACTGAAGCGATATACATCAAAATATTAAGTACTGTTATTTTGTTGGTAGAATTACATGTGATTGTTTAATTTTTATTATTTTCTGTATTCATATTTCTACAACTGCACATATTCTTTTTTATAATTAGAAAGAATATTATTTTTGTCAAAAGAGTAAAAAGAAAGATGTAACTTTTTCAAAAAGGTAACCTAAGTAATTATTACAGGTTTTTATAACTTACCTATATGTAAGAAAGGATACTAGATGATATAAAAAATGTAAAGATATGTAAAACTCTGGTTAGTCTTCCAGGAATTTATCATTTAGTAAAAAGCTGAGTTCTGTACATAAAGCCACAAAATTTAAACCTAATATATGATTGATTTTACATATGTATAATGTATGTCTTATATATGCATATTAGTAGCCACAGTGCTGGGGTAACTTTTTGAGGAGGATCCTTTTCTGACAAGGAGACTCCATGGAAAAGGTGATTTGCATTGTGTCTTTCAATTTGGTTACGCTGTTAAGTTGTGTAAGGACAGATGTTATTCTTGGCTAAGAGCATAATGCGGATAAATATCCTGAAATTTAAACACATAATAATGATTGGCTGGGTGTGGTGGCTCACGCCTGTAATCCCAGGACTTTGGGAGGCCGAGATGGGCAGATCCGGAGGTCAGGAGATCCAGACCATCCTGGCAAACATGGCGAAACCCCCTCTCTACTAAAAAAAAAAAAAAAAAAAAAAAAAAAAAAGCTAGGCATGGTGTCGTGCGCCTGTAGTCTCAGCTACTCAGGAGGCTGAGGCAGGCGAATCTCTTGAACCTGGGAGGCGGAGGTTGCAGTGAGCTGAGGTGATGCCAATGCACTTCAGCCTGGCGACAGGGCAAGACTCCGTCTCAAAAGACAAACAAACAAAAACCATAATAATGATTGAGGTCGTAGAATAGAAAGTATAAAGGAGAAGTGACAAAATAAAAGACTAGGAAATGATGTAGAGGATGAAAAGTGGAGGTCAAAGGTGATGTTCTGAATTTATCATGGATTAGTTTTGATGAGTAGAAATTAAATCAGCAGGGAGTATGTAGGAGAACACTCCTGGGAGAAAGATTAAAGAAGAGAAAAGGATTTTCTGAATGTATATGAAGATAGTGACTAGGGCTGGAGCTTACATAGAATGTTAGAAGAAAGCAGTAGGACTTGGTTATCTCAGGAAGGATTTCAGAGTTTAATTCATAGGTGGTGGAGCTCAATCAAAATTTTCAAAGAAAGAGAGTAATGATATAAACCATAATGCACTTTAAAAATTTTATATAGAACTAAGCATGTCTTATTTTAATGTGCTATTCATTTATGTTTTCCACCCTTTTTCTGTAAACTTTCGGGATGCAAAGACTGTAACTAAGTGGCATTCAATAAACATTTGCTTAATAAATGGATAGATGAAAGAAGGAATCTGTAACACAAGATATTATTTTAAATAAAAGTACGACTATAAAATTAACATTAAAGAACAAATAGTGCCAGCCTGGGCAATATTATAGTGAGACCTCATCTGTACAAAAAAATTTAAAAATAAAACAATAGCCAAATGTGGTGGCATGTGCCTGTAGTCCCAGCTACTCAGGAGGTGGGAGGATTGCTATAGCTTGGGAAATGGAGGCTGCACTGAGCTGAGATCATGGTACTACACTCCAGCCTGTGGAGTAGAATAAGACCCTGTCTCAAAAAAAAACAAAAAATAAAAAACAAACAAAAAAAAATAGTGAACGGCAATAATAAGAACTTAAGTCACTGTAATTAATTCAAGTTACTTCTCTTGGTGTTCAAATATTAGGCCAGTAATTATGCTTTAGGATACATCGGAATCACCTTATCAAAACACAGATCACTGCTTCACCACCAAATTTTCTTATTCAACAGATTTTATTGCCAAAGACATTTTATTACCAAAAAACATCACAGATAATGCCCTTAATGTTGACCTGAGGACATGCTTTGAGAAACTCTGAATTAGAATATTTTCTCCACCATCTTAATCTGGTTATTCTTATTAGGAATTTTTAACAACCACAAACATACAATTTTCTATATACTAGATTGAAAAAAAAAACACACGATGAGTGAATATTTTCATGTGCTGGGAGGTAGTGTAATACAATGAAAAGAGCTTAGATTTTAGTTCTAATACAACAAATGTTGGATTTTGGCTTCATATCTTTCTTGTTGTTGGCTTTGAGCAAGTCACTGACCTCTGAGTGGGTGGCACATAATTGTACTCAGTTGTAGCACTATAAGAGAGTGGTTAATGGCAAGAGTTTAAAGGTCAAACAGAATTCTTATTATTTTCTCACTTCCTGTTACATATTCTAGCATGCAACATTGAAAAAATTTAATTTATCTGAACCTCACCTTTCAGATATATAAAAATATTTATCTTACAGTGTTATTGTAAGGATTATAAAAGATAATATACAAAGAACTTGAAACCTTACTTAACACAAAACTACTCAATATAGACTAGAATTATTTTTGTTATTCATTATTTAAAGTACTTCCTCTTTGAAAGAAAAATAAATTTTTACATCAACATTATTCTTGCTTACTAAGCTTTAAAGTTTGTTCATTTGTTTATTTCCTTTCTTGTGCACCATATTAGCTGGGAACTCGCTATATCTATTCTTACACAGTATTATTTCTCTTAAATGGTCCAATACAATAACAGGGTTTTGTTGTTGTTGTTCAACAGGATGGCATAATATTACATACATTTGGATTTATTATGTGAAAATAAGCAAAGATCAATCAAATGAGAACAAGCAAAGGGTACTCATTCAGAGCTTGCTCTAGCAAGGGTGTCAGCCATCATGACTTGCATTTTGACAGAGATACAAAGGCAAACAGAGAGGTGGGAAAATCATAGAGTGAAAGAAAGGGAAGATTTTAAGTATGCCCTGATTGGAGGTTTGGTGTAGGGAAACTGTAGGTGGGCTAACTAGAAGTGAGGCCTTCTACATGCTTGGCTAGGGGTACATATTTGACTTTCTCTGGTTGGTCCTAAGTTTGAAGCAAAGACAAAAATTAAGGAAGCTGTCTGTTATCAATCAAGTTTTGGCTTTTTTGTGACAATTGTTCTAAGGATATTGTTTGGCTTCTTGTATTTACTGCTAAAGCTAGCAGTATGAATTTCTACAAGTCTGGCTTATTAATAGCAGGCTAGCTTCTGGGCTGGGTGCAACAGATAATGGCTTGGTTTCCTAGGCTGATTCCTGTAGATTGTTTATTCAGAGTTTTATTTGTATATATAATCTAGCCATCATTCATTTGTACATTCTATTTCTCAGTAAATTGTTTACTTAATAATAGCAACTTTATATTTTAATAAATGCTTTGGTTGACTTTCTTATCTTTGTAAATATGGTTATTTAAAAGTAACAAGATAGTGGATAATCAAAAAAAAACACCATAGACAAATTAAAGCTTACTGTGGGCTGGGTGCCTTGGCTCACGCCTGTAATCTCTTTGGGAGGCCAAGGTGAGCAGATCACGAGGTCAAGAGACCAAGACCATCCTGGCGAACATGGTGAAACCCTATCTCTACTAAAAATACAAATATTAGCTTGGCATGGGGGCGCACACCTTTAGTCCCAGCTACTCAGGAGGATGGGGCAGGAGAATCACTTGAAACTGGGAGGCAGAGATTGCAGTGAGTCGAGATCTTGCCATTGCACTCCAGCCTGGCGACAGAGCTACATTCAGTCTCAAAACAACAACAACAAACAACAACAACTTACGGTGAAGGCAATTGGATATACCTTTAAAAAATGGTGAGTTGGTGTTTTGTTGTAATTTCTCTTTCTTTTTTTTATGATGTATGTATGGATACATTTTACACGGGGTTAGTATAACACAGTGTCAAAAAAAATCCTTTGTTTGTTGCTGTTTTTCGTAACAATGTCAAAAACTCACAGACATTTATTAAGAAATTTTAAAAAAGATAAAATCTAGTATATATCAGAAAATGTGTGGTGTAATTTTTTTATTATTATAATAATGGTGTTTTTTCCAAACGTTATACAAATTTGTAGTCATACAATAGCAACTTTTTTTCTAGTAACCTTTTTTCTGATTTTCAAAAGACCAAAATGAATAAAACTGATTAACCATTTTAAAGAAAATTTGCAAGTGTATAGAACAGAGGTTTTTTAAAATTCACACATTTAGAATATTATTTTTTAAATTTATAGCTAATTAGTTCATTTTCACCCATTTCATTGTGAAATTACATTATTTCATTGGAGATTATTGGCAATGTCAAGTTTGGTTTAATTTTGCAATCTATAGAAGCATATGTAATTGACTTCATTTTTAGAATTAAAGTAATTTATTGAAGTTATATCTATATCTAAATTTAGCTTGCAAAATTATTTTGAAGTGTTAATGCCAAGTTTTCTTAATGTGTCTGTTTTCTTGCTAAAGTTACATATGTTTAAATCTGATTTATCCTTCACTTTGTGACCTATTGAGAAAAAATAAGAGGTAAACTGAGTCACTAATATTTTATCATTTTAAGGTCAGACTGTCTAGGTTGGAATTTTGTCTTTAATCTTTACCAACTGTTGACCTTAAAAATGTCACTTAATATACCTATGCTATAATTTTCTTATCTAAAAACAGGCATAATAATAGTATCTATCTCATGCTATTTTTGAAGAGTAAGTTAGTTAACGTAAGCAAAGCAACGAGAACAGTGCCTAGTACAAAGTTAGTACTGAATAAATGGTAGCTATTTTTCTGACATTATCTATTTTACTGAGAAAGAGTAATTCAATGAATAATTATAGTAATTGTCCTGAGTTCCACTTTAAGCACTATACTATTTCCTAGTATTTCAAATATAAGTAATACCAGGACTGGAAACAAATCTCAAGTAATATTGTCACCGTAAGAATATTTTTAACAAATTTGTGAGTTCTAGTGTGTTATTTTTGTAGTTGTATCAACTTCTCTTCCTGATCTAATTATTCATTTGTACAAAGATAAGACTTGGTGGTAGTCAGTGTTGTCATGAATGTAGGGACCTCCACTGGATATTCATGAGGGTTCAGAGAAATGTCCAGATCAGCTCAGGACTGAGAATATCCAACACTGAAAATATAGAGAAATTCAGCATAGCAGCACAGAAAAAGCACTGTATTTGGAATTACAATAACCAATTTCAAGTGTTTTCTGTGACAGATAAATGTATAACATTGACTTAATTGGTATTTTCAGATGTCTTGCAAATATTTCATAAGTATTTTGAATACATGAGTTAGTTTTTGAAGAATTGATATCTGCAAGTTTTGTGGTTGTTTTTATAGAAAAGTAGTCTTTACATATTTTGTTACACAGAAGCAAGAACTATACTTTGGAATGTTTTTTTTTCAAGTTTGGCCTTTCAGAGGAAGGACTTGGATCCTTCTCTGAAATGTACTGAAAACTAAAAACACAGGAAGACTAAACTTATTGCTCCAATAACAATAGAAAATGCCACAATTCCAAAACCAAGTGTTATAATACATCTCAACCAAATAGAATAAAATTTGGATAAAACAAAAAAATGATTATAAGATTAGTGTGTGTGTGTGTGTGTGTGTGTGTGTGTGTGTTAACTGATGTTGATTTCCCAGTGAGAAAATAAAAGAAAATAGAACTAAGTACTGTGGTTCTTATACCTAATTCCTGAAATTTAAAAAGTGGTAACGAAAGAGCAAAAGCAAAAGGAAAATAAAAATATTTCTTAATAGTAAAATTTCTCAATGGAAAAAAAATGAGATACATAAGTTTCCATGCTTTCAGGAAATTGATGTGAACATGAACTTTCTAAAAGCAAACATGCAGTTCAGATTACTTCATTCTTCTATACAAATTTTGCATTAATTTTGTTTTATCTGTATCCTTGTATATTTTATAATTTTTATGACTAATTTTCAACATTCTATATTGTTTACTTATTTATTACATTTTTGCCCTCACCTTCCAGGCCCCACTAAAATATAACTTACACTGGGCAGGGATCTTAGTTTGTTTTGTTTATTGATATTCTAAGCACTCAGTTAAATAGCAAGTGGTCAACAGATCTCATAAATGAATAGATGGATAAATGAATGAAGTAATAATTTGAAGAAAAAGTATACAAACTAAGGTACTTCTAGAAAAACAGGAGCCAAGAATATTGAAAATTAGTCATAAAAATTAGTAAGAATTAATGCATTCTTCTATACAAATTCTAACCCAAAATAATTCGAATGACTTATTTGTTCTTGGATATCATCTTCTACTTTTCCCTTTGGTCACATAATTCCAGCCACACTTGCCTTCTGGTGTTCCCTGACACAGCGTATCCTCCCCTCAGCGTATCCTTCACACTGGCTTTTCGTTCTGCCATTTCTGAGTTGGGTGCTTGACCAACTCTTTCACTTCCTCTCAGTGTTTGCTCAAATATCACTTTCTCAGAGACCAACCCCGAACCTTCATGGGATTTATTTCCCAACTTCTGGGGCACCAAGTGTGAACATGGCCTCCATCATACTTGCTATTTTGTGGTCATTCACTGATTGAATTAATGTTATTAACATAGTAGAGAGGAGGATAATTAACATAGCCTTTGGGCAAGCATATGTGTGCTGTTATCCTTTCCACATAGATACAAGCTGCTTTTGATTTTTCTAGAGAGAGGATGCGAGGAATGTATTGCTTAATCAATGGCTGCATACCATATACATGAGGCTGTATTAACCTTCTCAATGAATATGCTACATCAGACACAACGTTAGAGTTAAAATTATTACTTGGTTGAGATGAATTAGTCTACTGTTGTTCATTAGGTTTAATATGAGGAGACAGCAGGGGAATATTGGGAACCACCACTTTTCCATTCTCAGTTTTTATGGAGGCATTAATCTCTACTGTCTGCCCTATATGCAGTATTTTGTATTTAATATCTTAGCTAAAATAAGGAGGCAGTTTCATAGACCTTTGCTTGGCCTGCTTCACTATTATACCTTTTATTTTATTTATAAGCCAATAAGCCGAAGTA
Organism: Homo sapiens; assembly: GCF_000001405.40. Taxonomy (NCBI): domain Eukaryota; kingdom Metazoa; phylum Chordata; class Mammalia; order Primates; family Hominidae; genus Homo; species Homo sapiens. The sequence goes on from NC_000003.12 coordinate 165,950,764, forward strand.
TGAGTTCTGCCAACTACCAGTATTGTTTGTATTAATATATTCAAGGGCCAGAAATATAACCACCTACAACTGTGGAAGCAACAGACCCACTGTGAGCCAGATTCCATTTATTATCTGATTCCTAAACACCTCTAATTTGTTTTTATTTATTTTTGAGGCAGGGTGTTGATCTGTCACCCAGGTTGGAGTGCAGCAGTGAGATCATGGCTCACTACAGCCTCAACTTCCTGGGCTCAAGTGATCTTTCTGCCTAGGCTTCCCAAGTAGCTGAAACTACAGATGTACATTACCATGCCTGGTGAATTTTTTAATTATTTCTTGAGATGAGATCTTGCTGTGTTGCCCAGGCTAGTCTTGAACTCCTGGCCTCAGGTGATCCTCCCACTTCTGCCTCCCAAAGTGCTGGGATTACAGGTGTGAGCCACCACACTCAGCCAACACCCCCTATTTGAATAGCAAGTCACGATGGAACTTTGAGTTCGTGGGTATGAATGTCAAATTTGACCACATGTTCAACTGTCCTAAAAGTGTTTGTGTGTTCCCCATTTTAGCGTATTGAGTCCCCTTTATAAATGGTCACAGGTCACACTGGGAAAGAACTAAGGAAATCATTGCAGTATTAATTTATCATATTATTCTGAGGGTCTCTTTCTCAATGGAACACTGGGACCCATTTTCTATTTTTTACAAAGTTCAACTTTGAGAACTGGTTCAATCAGAAATTGGACAATGAATCTTTACATTGCAGTCACCTAAAAATCTGTTATTTATTTTTTGGTTCTACAAATTGAGGAATACCCTTGTTATCAGTCCATCAATCTTATTCTTAGAAGTGTCTATACCTATCGTCATAGCTCTCTGTTAGCCATGCCCCCTGACAGTCACTTAAACCTTTAGCTCATTACATTTCAAAGTTAAGCACGGCCACCTGGTCTCTATTATTTTTAGTTGTTGTATCTCCCTTGCTTTCAGGAAGTCCAATTCTGTAATAGTACTTCCTACCCTGGGCTACCATCAACCCTAGTCTACAGAGAATTCCCATCACTGAAATTCTCAACAATTCTGATCCTCATCTCGGTAGTGCATTTCTTATCACTTTGCTAAATACAATGTCCCCCAGGCCTTCCTTTGGGACAGGGTTTTCTGTCTTACATAGTATATCCAGCTGAATATATTCCATATATTGATGCTTTTGATCCCTTCATCCGCCATTTATTACGTCAGTTCCAGCATTTTCTCTTCACAGTCTGGGGCTGTTACTTCCTATAAGCTTCCAAGTGTCCAACTAGCCACTCATTAGCATCCTGTACTTGGGGCCTTGCCTATGTCACAGGATAATTCTCCTATATTAATAAATACTCACTAATCGAATTTCTCATTACATCTTGCTTGATCTTAAACATTCCAAATATAATTTCATATATTCTGTACAATTGATGCTGAGCCATGTTGGCTATACATTACCATTATTGTGTGAACTACTATGAGTTCATGGATTTGTTTTTCAGTCACACACTTCCTGGGCTACATTTCCTTCCACTTTTACCCCATTGCAAAGAACTACCAGTGAAATTTTAGCAATTGTATGACCTTAACCAATGAGGGGCTATAAGTTCTTTACTTGACCCTAGAGAAGTATTTGACATTTTAATCCAGCTGACAGGTCATCCAGTTCCAAAATCAATTTCCTGTAAGGGATTTTGATAACTGCTTTAGGTCAATTTTCCTAGACAGTAACCCTGTGATGGCTATTTCCACATAAGAATACTGTTTCACTAAGTGGTCAAGCTGTGCCACAAGATAGAATATATCTCAAGTGTTGCCAAGATGGAAAGACAGATATTGTACCATCCAGGAAATATACTAGTTCATGATTCAAGCTTGCTAAGAGCAAACAACACTTAACACCAGGCTCAACATTTACATACAGCAAGTGTAGAGAGTGAGTGCATAAGACCCAGTCCTTTGTAGTGTGTGGATTCCCCATGACTGGTGTATCCATAGAGCAGCCATCATGGAATAGTGTGGCTGCACCCATCCAACTTAGTACTCCAGTAGGGGCTCTGACACATGCATAGCTAAACAGTTTCAAGAGAAGTTTACATGCGTCTTATACAGAGAGAACAGGGACCAACTGGTGATGCTTTTAGTTCTTTGCATACAATGAGATTTGTGAGTTTGTCAGAATGTCTTGTACTGAGCACATGGTTCTTCTTGGGAACATAAAGGACACATTAGGCTGCACTTGGATCTTTCCCTCACTGTTTACCCCTGACTCTCATGTGTCCTGCAAAAGTAGACCTTATGCATCACTTACATAGACCTGTCAACCATTAGATGATTAGCCATAGCTGTGTCCCTTTGTCCCAGTACTGCTTGTATTATCTGTGATACCTATAAGAACTCATGGAGATCCTGTCAATTGAAGCAGCACTGATAAGGTCCAGGAGGCAGCCCACTCCAGAATGATAATCAAGACTGCTTGGAGAAGAGTCTACAACTTTCACCCTACATGCCCAAATTCAGCCAGTTGACAAGGTCAAGTATTAACTATAATGGTAAGTACAGTAAAACTAACAAGAGCCAGTGTTCTTGTTCATTCAATTTCTGCATGTTAGTCTCCATATGCTGACTGTTACTGATGACAGAGCAGAATGTGTTAATTACGACACCTCTTTTTATTCAACCAGAAGGTAGTCAAGGGCAATGCAGTTGTCCAGGATCACTTTCATCTGGGCATTTAGTGAGTCCTGTTGCTGTATTGAATTAGCTGTGGCTTTAGCCATAGTTATGTCATGGGTAGAGACAGGTTTGACATCATGATCTCTAAGGCACAGACACTATCCCTGGTATGAGGATGTATATAAAAAATGGAACCAGCTTTCTGATTGGCCCCCAAGGGAGATGGACATTTGGGACATCTGATTGGTAAGTGGGATGGTCTCATCCATCCAGAGATGTCATTGTGCAGTAACACCTGGCACCTCAAAACTCCTGAATGAAAGGCCTCTTCTAGAGACAAACATTCTGTGACACTCTGCAAAGGAACACATGGGGAAGGGAATATATGTCACCTCAACAAAGGACCAGTTGTCTAAATAGCTCCAGTCCAATGGTAGAGGACTTAATTCATCCATGGGCCCACCGACATTGAAAAGTTACAGGGAGTATTGGTATTCCTAAAAACTCAGTGATGTTTAAAGTCTCCTTTGGCATTGATGTGTCTTTGATGGCATCAAAGAAATGTTAGTGCATAAAATGTCATATGGTCTTTGAATTTGGATGTGCAGCAGGGGTGTGGCATGTTGTGCAGAGCCATTGTTTGTGAGGGAGACCTGGACAATGTAGGGCATGATGGACTCACACTGGATCCAAGAACAGTGGTCCAGGGTGATAATAGAAAGTGTAGCTAAGAAATTTCATAAAGATCAAACAATTCACAAATGACAGATCTTTATCTTGATTTGATTTTTGTATAAGGTGAGAGACCTGAAACTATAAAAATTCTGGAAGATAACATCGGAAAAACCCTTCTAGACATTGGCTTAGGCAAGGATTTTATGACCGAGAATCCAAAAGCAAATACAATAAATACAAAGATAAATAGCTGGGACCTAATTAAACTAAAGAAGTTTTTCATGGCAAAAGGAACAGTCAGTAGAGTAAACAGACAATCCACAGAATGGGAAAAGTTCTTCACAATCTATACATCTAACAAAGGACTAATAACCAGAATCTACAATGAACTCAAACAAATCAGTAAGATAAAACAAACAATCCCATCAAAAAATGGGCTAAGGACATGAGTAGACAATTCTCAAAAGAAGATATTCAAATGGCCAAGAAACGTATGAAAAAATGCTCAGCATCACTAATGATCAGGGAAATGCAAATCAAAAGCACAATGCGGTACCACTTCACCCTGCAAGAATGGCCATAATCAAAAAATCAAAAAACAGTAGATGCTGACATGGATGTGGTGAACAGGGAATACTTCCACGCTGCTGGTGGAAATGCAAACTAGTACAACCACTATGGAAAACAGGGTGGAGATTCCTTAAAGATCTAAAAGTAGAGCCACCATTTGATCCAGCAATCCCACTGCTGGGTATCTACCCAGAGGAAAAGATGTAATTATTCGAAAAAGATACTTGCACACACATGTTTATGGAAGCACAATTCACAACTGCAAAATCGTGGAACCAACCTAAATGCCCATCAATCATGGAGTGGATAAAGAAACTGTGGTATATACATACAATGGAATACTGTGCAGCCATAAGACAGAATGAATTAACAGCATTTGCAATGACCTGGATGAGATTGGACACTATTATTCTAAGCAAAGTAACTCAGGAATGGAAATTGAAACATCATATGTTCTCACTGATATGTGGGAGCTAAGGCATGAGGACGCAAAGGCATAAGAATGATGCAGTGGTCTTTGGGGACTTGGGGGGAAGAGTGGGAGGGGGTGAGGGATAGAAGAATACAGGTAGGCGGAGTGTATACTGCTCAGGTGATGGGTGCACCAAAATCTCACAAATCACCACTAAAGAACTTATGTAACCAAATACCACCTGTATCCCAATAACTTATGGAAGAATTTAAAAAAAGATAAAAACAAATGTCAGATCTAAATCTTTGAAGTTCAGGTTTCAAATCCCATCTATGCATTAGCAATGCCAGCATGCTCTAGACAATGCAGAGCTTCCTTCTGCAGTAATTATTGTGGATATCCTCTTTCTAAATTATTGACTAATCTAACTGCCAGTGAGTTCTGTTAATTTAGAACTGGATCTGCTTCACAGTAATTTCTAACCTGTAATCCTAGTTTGACTCCCCAGAGCCACAAAGAATAACACGATTTGCTTATACTGAATTATATTTCAGGAACTCTGATATTCCTTATATGTCATGTTTTCCAGATGTTTCCCAATTCTGGAGAAATCACTGTTTGAATAAACATCTGAGAAGGATTTCAGGGCAAAATATTATCGATCCTGCTATGAGATATGCTGCCAGTGACTGTGGTGAAATCAGTCAGTGCTATCCCTGAGCAGGTTCTCATTGTGAACATGTATATCAATTGTGCTTTGCTGTTTCAGATGTGCATATTACTGTTACAAAAGTATAGGTGGGAAGCTTACTATTACAAAAATAGCCACTATTAATTTTAAATTTGAAGGTAATTTTGAAAATGCTATGCCTTTTAGCAGTTAGAATAATCAGGCCCAAAAATGTATTTTCTTTAAAAAAAAAAAAAGCTTGAAAGGAGCACATATTTTTGTTTCCATTCTTCCCTGCAAAAGAGCTAGGAATGAGTTTGGGTTCTTCTGTTTTTTTGTTTGTTTGTTTGTTTGTTGTTGTTGTTCCTAGTGTATGAGCTTCTGAATTATATCATGCATCAAGACACTTAAAACCTGTTACAAACCCTGCTAGTGATGAAATGCAGATGATATTGATTACATAAAATTCACCTCCTAGACAAGGTTTTCAATATGGGAGAGTTCATTGTCAGTGCAGCTCATCTAATTTTATAAATCCTATGTTTGTGTGATTTTTTTAATTGAAAATAAAATGCACCTGGGAATAATGATGGCATACAGCACCACAGTTTAACTCAGCAAATCTCATCAATATTAATACCATTATTCTCTTTATTGCAATCAATTGATGTACTTACTGAAATATCTTATTTCTACTTAGTGGTTATGTAAGTTTGATGGTTTTAGGTCTGCAAATATTGTCATCTGTGGTTATTAATTAGAAAACTTCATTGGTATGTTTGTACCTATGTGTTTTCACACATAAAATTTATACGATTGTAATAATCAGATCCTCATTTAGGATCTAGGCTCTATGCTTCATAAGACAGAAAATTATTTGTTGCTAAGACAAACACCTTATACAGAAAGTAGAACTAGGAAAATACTAATTTTTAAAATATTACCAAGGATAGCACTAAAAGCCACTATGATGTATGGGTATCATATTATGTAATAGCTTATTGGAGTCTTTCAAGTGAAATTTCTAATTAAGAATAGATAAGAGCTTATAGAACAAACTTCTCTCCCCTAGAGGATGGGGAACATTTCTGTAAAGTGTTTGCTCCAGGTATACGAAAGGCCAACAGAAAGTAGAAGTTTCCTAAAACAGAATGTGTTGTCATGGGGTCGTAATTAAAGAACAGCTAAATAGGCACGAAAATTTATTCTAATTTCCACAAATTAAAAGAGCCCAGTGGCCCATCTAAAGTTCTACTCTCATTTACCAGTTTAGTCTCCAACCCAGCAATGATATTCCAGGATCACTTCAACTGCTATACATACTTAACTTTTCAAATTCTCTTTAAATTCATTCTATTATATTACTAACACTTTGACAAATTAGATTTTTTGAAAGAAATCTTAGGTGTATACTCACAGAAAAACAGTCCTATTCTGTTATCTCCTAGCCCTTGGAAATGTTATGGTCAAAAGGACAAGAACACCTTAAGATATTTGATTTCCTGCAAAGCAAAATATAAAATTTAACATGTAGTCAAGTTGGTCATAATTCAGCAAACTATCGCAAGGACAAAAAACCAAACACCACATGTTCTCACTCATAGGTGGGAATTGAACAATGAGAACACCTGGACACAGGAATGGGAACATCACACACCGGGGCCTGTTGTGGGGTGGGGGGAGGGGGGAGGGATAGCATTAGGAGATATACCTAATGTTAAATGACAATTTAATGGGTGCAGCACACCAACATGGCACATGTATACGTATGTAACAAACCTGCACGTTGTGCACATGTACCCTAAAACTTCAAGTATAATAAAAATAGATAAATTAAAAGAAAAAAAAGAGAAATATAAATGTCAAAGAGGAGTTTTCCAAAACACTGAAATAATACACAGAATTAAGTAACCAACATTGTTATTTGCTTTAACACATTTTCTCCCTCCAAAAAGTAAAACAGTGCAGTACCAAAGCTCTATAAATGGTTGTCTTTTAAAAGGTCTCCTAAAATTAAATTTTAAAAAATCTCTCAAATTCCCATTATTTTTTCCTTTTATATAAAATATGGTTATTTTTAGTTGGTAGGATTGTGACCTCTAGGCATTGTCCACAGTATAAGTTATCTCTGCAGGCTTCTGGCATTTCTTCCACTTCTAGAGATTAATGCAAAATCATTATTAATCCGAAATATTTGTATTTGCCAAATTGGCTATTTCTTTGTCTCTCCTTTATATTCCTTCCCTGAACCCATAATATTCAAGTTTATTACATAAATCTTAGATTTATCAATACTAGAGAGACAAAAATGACAACTATTAAGTTTGAATACATCTCTCAGTAATTGATAAAACAACTAGAGAAAGAAAAAGTGGTTGTCAGATGATCTGAATAATGCTATCAACCATTTTGGTCTAATAGGTATTTTAGAGCACTTCAACCCACAGCTGCAGAATACATATTATTTTCAAATTCATATGGTGTATTCACCATGAAACACAATATGCTTGTCATAAAACAAAAATAAGATGATATATTTAAAATGATTTAACTCATACAGAGTATGATCTCAGATCAGAAGGGCATTGAATTCGAACTGTAAAATCATTTCTACCTATTAGAAACCAAACCAGTTACACGCACACACACACATAAATATATATGTGTTTATGAATATGTATATATACACATGTGTAAGTAAAAATATCTAGAAACATCTCAATTATCTAAAAATTAAACAGCATACGTTTTAATAACCTATGGGTCAAAAATAAATCTCAAGGAAAAATAGACAACATTTCAATCCAAAATGTTAATAAAAATACAAAATTTGTGAGGTGTATCTAAGGTTTACAGTGGGTCATAGTAAAGATCAAAAGTGATGCACATAATATTAACTCTCAATATTCTGTGACCTTGGCCCTTCAAGGTATGGCTGGCTTGGGAGACTGGTAATACCCTTAAAGAAATTGGTTCTTTAAAATATTATCTAGCTATTCTAGTTGTTCTCCAAAGCCATTTTTTTTTGTTTTTTTTGTCTTTTTTTATTTTTTAATTTTTTATCATTATTATACTTTAAGTTTTAGGGTACATGTGCACAATGTGCAGGTTAGTTACATATGTATACATGTGCCATGCTGGTGTGCTGCACCCATTAACTCGTCATTTAGCATTAGGTATATCTCCTAATGCTATCCCTCCCCCCTTCCCCCCACCCCACAACAGTCCCCAGAGTGTGATGTTCCCCTTCCTGTGTCCATATGTTCTCATTGTTCAATTCCCACCTATGAGTGAGAACATGTGGTGTTTGGTTTTTTGTCCTTGCGATAGTTTACTGAGAATGATGATTTACAAATTCATCCATGTCCCTACAAAAGACATGAACTCATCATTTTTTATGGCTGCATAGTATTCCATGGTGTATATGTGCCACATTTTCTTAATCCAGTCTATCATTGTTGGACATTTGGGTTGGTTCCAAGTCTTTGCTATTGTGAATAGTGCCGCAATAATCATACGTGTGCATGTGTCTTTATAGCAGCATGATTTATAGTCCTTTGGGTATATACCCAGTAATGGGATGGCTGGGTCAAATGGTATTTCTAGTTCTAGATCCCTGAGGAATCGCCACACTGACTTCCACAATGGTTGAACTAGTTTACAGTCCCACCAACAGTGTAAAAATGTTCCTATTTCTCCACATCCTCTCCAGCACCTGTTGTTTCCTGACTTTTTAATGATTGCCATTCTAACTGGTGTGAGATGGTACCTCATTGTGGTTTTGATTTGCATTTCTGTGATGGCCAGTGATGGTGAGCATTTTTTCATGTGTTTTTTGGCTGCATAAATGTCTTCTTTTGAGAAGTGTCTGTTCATATCCTTTGCCCACTTTTTGATGGGGTTGTTTGTTTTTTTGTTGTAAATTTGTTTGAGTTCATTGTAGATTCTGGATATTAGCCCTTTGTCAGATGAGTAGGTTGCAAAAATTTTCTCCCATTTTGTAGGTTGCCTGTTCACTCTGATGGTAGTTTCTTTTGCTGTGCAGAAGCTCTTTAGTTTAATTAGATCCCATTTGTCAATTTTGGCTTTTGTTGCCATTGCTGTTGGTGTTTTAGACATGAAGTCCTTGCCCATGCCTATGTCCTGAATGGTAATGCCTAGGTTTTCTTCTAGAGTTTTTATGGTTTTAGGTCTAACGTTTAAGTCTTTAATCCATCTTGAATTAATTTTTGTATAAGGTGTAAGGAAGGGATCCAGTTTCAGCTTTCTACATATGGCTAGCCAGTTTTCCCTGCAGCATTTATTAAATAGGGAATCCTTTCCCCATTGCTTGTTTTTCTCAGGTTTGTCAAAGATCAGATAGTTGTAGATATGCGGCGTTATTTCTGAGGGCTCTGTTCTGTTCCATTTATCTATATCTCTGTTTTGGTACCAGTACCATGCTGTTTTGGTTACCGTAGGCTTGTAGTATAGTTTGAAGTCAGGTAGTGTGATGCCTCCGGCTTTGTTCTTTTGGCTTAGGATTGACTTGGCGATGCGGGCTCTTTTTTGGTTCCATATGAACTTTAAAGTAGTTTTTTCCAATTCTGTGAAGAAAGTCATTGGTAGCTTGATGGGGATCTATAAATTGAATCTATAAATTACCTTGGGCAGTATGGCCATTTTCACGATATTGATTCTTCCTACCCATGAGCATGGAATGTTCTTCCATTTGTTTGTATCCTCTTTTATTTCATTGAGCAGTGGTTTGTAGTTCTCCTTGAAGAGGTCCTTCACATCCCTTGTAAGTTGGATTCCTAAGTATTTTATTCTCTTTGAAGCAGTTGTGAATGGGAGTTCACTCATGATTTGGCTCTCTGTTTGTCTGTTATTGGTGTATAAGAATGCTTGTGATTTTTGTACATTGATTTTGTATCCTGAGACTTTGCTGAAGTTGCTTATCAGCTTAAGGAGATTTTGGGCTGAGACGATGGGGTTTTCTAGATATACAATCATGTCATCCGCAAACAGGGACAATTTGACTTCCTCTTTTCCTAACTGAATACCCTTCATTTCCTTCTCCTGCCTAATTGCCCTGGCCAGAACTTCCAACACTATGTTGAACAGGAGTGGTGAGAGAGGACATCCCTGTCTTGTGCCAGTTTTCGAAGTGAATGCTTCCAGTTTTTGCCCATTCAGTATGATATTGGCTGTGGGTTTGTCATAGGTAGCTCTTATTATTTTGAGATACGTCCCATCAATAAATGTAAATGGACTAAATGCTCCAATTAAAAGACACAGACTGGCAAATTGGATAAAGAGTCAAGACCCATCAGTGTACTGTATTCAGGAAACCCATCTCACATGCAGACACACACATAGGCTCAAAATAAAAGGATGGAGGAAGATCTACCACCAAATGGAAAACACAAAAAGGCAGGGGTTGCAATCCTAGTCTCTGATAAAACGGACTTTAAACCAACAAAGATCAAAAGAGACAAAGAAGGCCATTACATAATGGTAAAGGGATCAATTCAACAAGAAGAACTAACTATCCTAAATATATATGCACCCAATACCGGAGCACCCAGATTCATAAAGCAAGTCCTGAGTGACCTACAAAGAGACTTAGACTCCCACACAATAATAATGGGAGACTTTAACACCCCACTGTCAACATTAGACAGATCAACGAGACAGAAAGTTAACAAGGATACCCAGGAATTGAACTCAGCTCTGCACCAAGCAGACCTAATAGACATCTACAGAACTCTCCACCCCAAATCAACAGAATATACATTTTTTTCAGCACCACACCACACCTATTCCAAAATTGACCACATACTTGTAAGTAAACCTCTCCTCAGCAAATGTAAAAGAACAGAAATTATAACAAACTGTCTCTCAGACCACAGTGCAATCAAACTAGAACTCAGGATTAAGAAACTCACTCAAAACCGCTCAACTACATGGAAACTGAACAACCTGCTCCTGAATGACTACTGGGTACATAACGAAATGAAGGCAGAAATAAAGATGATCTTTGAAACCAACGAGAACAAAGACACAACATACCAGAATCTCTGGGACACATTCAAAGCAGTGTGTAGAGGGAAATTTGTAGTACTAAATGCCCACAAGAGAAAGCAGGAAAGATCCAAAATTGACACCCTAACATCACAGTTAAAAGAACTAGAAAAACAAGAGCAAACACATTCAAAAGCTAGCAGAAGGCAAGAAATAACGAAAATCAGAGCAGAAATGGAGGAAATAGAGACACAAAAAACCCTTCAAAAAATTAATGAATCCAGGAGCTGGTTTTTTGAAAGGATCAAGAAAATTGATAGACCGCTAGCAAGACTAATAAAGAAAAAAAGAGAGAAGAATCTAATAGACGCAATAAAAAATTATAAAGGGGATATAGCCACCGATCCCACAGAAATACAAACTACCATCGGAGAATACTACAAACACCTCTACACAAATAAACTAGAAAATCTAGAAGAAATGGATAAATTCCTCGACACATACACTCTCCCAAGACTAAACCAGGAAGAAGTTGAGTTTCTGAATAGACCAATAACAAGATCTGAAATTGTGGCAATAATCAATAGCTTACCAACCAAAAAGAGTCCAGGACCAGATGGATTCACAGCCGAATTCTACCAGAGGTACAAGGAGGAACTGGTACCATTCCTTCTGAAACTATTCCAATCAATAGGAAAAGAGGGAATCCTCCCTAACTCATTTTATGAGGCCAGCATCATCCTGATACCAAAGCCGGGCAGAGACACAACCAAAAAAGAGAATTTTAGACCAATATCCTTGATGAACATTGATGCAAAAATCCTCAATAAAATACTGGCAAACCGAATCCAGCAGCACATCAAAAAGCTTATCCACCATGATCAAGTGGGCTTCATCCCTGGGATGCAAGGCTGGTTCAATATACGCAAATCAATAAATGGAATCCAGCATATAAACAGAACCATAGACAAAAACCACATGATTATCTCAATAGATGCAGAAAAGGCCTTTGACAAAATTCAACAACCCTTCAAGCCATTTGTTTACTAATAGCTACTCCATCATATCCGTAAGTGGAAATCTGAGCAATTCACCTTCAATATCTAAAATTAGAAAACAACTGTTAAGTATCAACATTTGTAGTAAAAAGATTAGCTGAACTAAGGTGGGTCTTATTCATATCTCATATTTTAGCACAATTAAATATTGCGAACATTTAGATGTGCTAGATCTCAACTCTCTTGATCTTAATGACTCTGCTTTTGGATTGATATTTTAATCCAATGAGACATAGATTATTTCTTCATAAAGCCACCAAGTAATACTATCACTGGATTTTACCTGAGCTTTTCAGATATAAGCTATGGTTTCTGTAGCATATATTACATTCTAATACAACCCTAAACTACAGATTACAGAATTTAAATGTTGATACATTGTTTTGTAATGATATCAGAGTCAGTGTGGTGTCTCTCACACGTTATTAAATTTGTTAGGCAGATGTCACAATTTGATCTAATATGAATGCATCATTTTATAACATTGCTGCTATAATTAACTATAAAAAGAAATTAACAAAATAATTAGCAAATAAAATTCGACTTCCAGATGAACCAATATGGAAAGCAGCAAACACAAATATCAATAAAAATGCCAGTTCAGTAATAACTCTATCTTTAAATAAAATGAATACTTGTTAAAATATTAATCTGGATTTCATAATAAAGTATTCCTTTTAAGCAGCTATAATTGTACATTTAAATGTTTTCTTGGAAACTATTTTTTGTTATAATTAAAATATTGTGAAAACATACTTTGAGTTCTGTTGTTAGTTTAATTACAGTTCTAATAAACAAAAAGCTTCACGGGCTAAATTGCAAAGTTACAATTGAAAGCTCAATGATTATCCTAATTCACCAGTAAGTGTTCCATAATAAATACCTTTCTCTTAAAAATATGTTTCTGCCCATCATCTCATGAGTTTGATGACCTCTCTTGATAAACTTTTAAATTTCATTTTAAGCTTAAAATTGTAGAAAGACATTTTTTGAATTTTTATTCTAGATTGTTTTCTCTGTTTAATTTCTTGAGGATTATACTAGCATTTGAAGACACATTCTTCAACCAAAACAGTTCAGAATTCCTTTAAATTTTCTATTTTTTTTGTTGCCACATAACTTCATTTTTCTTGTCTTAGTTTTCTTATTAAAGTCCTAGAATAGCCTATACTTTTCTTTATTAGCACTTGAATAATTGGAAATCTCTATATAAATATAAGAAAATGATTATTTTTACAATTCTGGAGAGAGGATAATTGGCAATAAAAAATGGTTGGAGCCAAGATTTTCTTTTTTCACTCGATACATGGAAACAACGAAGCTAATGGTTGCTGAGTAAAACACTAGAAGAAGAGTTGATAGTGAAGTATTTTCCTATGCTTTTCTGTAAGAAAAATTATTTTATTGTTGACAAAAATAGATCTCTGGAAGATGTTTTTGGTAAAACAAACAAATCACTTTTGCAATTGTTGGCTAAACAGTAAATGAATACCTTCTTTGTTGGTTCCAGTATTAGCAGTTTATCATACTATTTAAAAATCAGATAATTTTGTTGTAAAAGAAAAATGACTGAATTTACTCTTCAGCCTTGGTGGATACAGGTCTTCTTTTATTATTTGCCTTTTCCCTACCTTTGAAGAAGTAATCTTTGACTTTGATGAACACCTAACTTTGGTGAACACCTACTATATCCTAGGCATTGTTCTAAGTGCTGGAAAAATGGCAGTGAACTCTGTGTCCTCATGGAGCTTACATTATAAATGTAGTGACTGGCAACTGACTGAAGTAATTTCAGATATTAATAAATGTTATGAAGTAAATAAAACTAGCTAATAGAATGCAGAGCAGCTGTAGGAGGGATGGTATTGGTCAATGTTCGAGGGAAAGTTTCTCTCACGAGGTGACATTGGAACTGAGAGCTAAATAATAGGAAGTAAACCTGTAGAGATGTGAGGAAAGATCATTGTTGGTGAGGCTGAGCAATTTACCTGGAAAGAACCTGGACATATTTGAGACATTGAAATAGGCCCAAATGTTAATAGATTTAGTTAATAATTTTTTTTTTTTTTTTTTTTTTGAGACGGAGTCTCTGTTGCCCAGGCTGAAGTGCAGTGGCGCGATCTCGGCTCACTGCAAGCTCCGCCTCTTGGGTTCACGCCGTTCTCCTGCCTCAGCCCCCCGAGTAGCTGGGACTACAGGTGCCTGCCACCACACCCAGCTAATTTCTTTTTGTATTTTTAGTAGAGCCAGGGTTTTACCGTGTTAGCCAGGGTGGCTACGATCTCCTGACCTTGTGATACGCCCACCTCGGCCTCCCAAAGTGCTGGGATTACTGGCGTGAGCCACCGCGCCCGGCCGTTAATAAAATTTTCGAAATCTCAATCTACCATCACAAAAATAATTTTGATAACCTGTTTACATTCCCCCTCAATAGTAGATTTTGTTGTAGATAAAATATTTTTCCATATATTCCATTCAATATGACAAATTATTACAAAATAATCTAGAAGCAGATGTTATTCTCATTTTAGTAATCCTTTTTGAATATAGCAGGTAAAAAAGTAACAATGTATCTTTTTGGCAAATCACATCCAAGTACCCAAGCACCCAAGTACACACCTCTATTGCAGTGACTGTCCAAAATAATTCTATATAAAAGGCTTCACCGAGGTCATTCATTTAAGAACCCACTGGGAGGGGTACTTATTCTAGCATTTGCTGGAAGCTGTGAGGATTGCCAAAAGGGTATCCACATTTGTTTTCACTTACCATAACGCATTTGGAGAGACCTGGAAAATCATTAAAGAAAATTGACATAATTTTAGATTGCATGGGTTTCTGATACTTCCATGATATGTATCTTCTTTTTTCTCAATATTTATAAGCAAATAGCCAACTCAATTCATTTTTCCCAGGGCATATTACAACTGAAATCTCAGAAGTACTTAAAGATTTTCTTTTTTTCAGATTTCTTCTCTTGGCTTCTGATTGTTATTCTTAGTTTCCTCCCTCAGTAACTGTTTTGGTTTTATCCCTTAAACTTGAGCATTCAACAAGATTTCATTTACAGATTTCTGTTTTCCCTCTGTATGAACGTATGGTGCTTCAGAAACTTTGTCTTCTACAAAGGCTTACTGTTTTATCTCTAAGTAAGATTCTTGACTGTCTAAATTATTTAAACCTGTCCTCACATTTCACTTCATATTTACACCCTATTTTTAGGACTTTATGTTACATGTCACATCACCTAAATTCAGAATGTCTAAAATTGAATTTTTCATCTTTTACCCAATGTGAATTTAAGTATTACCTTTACTTCTGCATTCTTTATATAGGCAAATATTACTATAATTCTTCTGAAAACCCATATGAAAGACTCTTATTGACTTTTTCATTTTTTGTTTATCCTAGGCCTCATTTCAGTGTTTACTGTTATTTCAACTGACCCTTAAACTTGATCTTATATGTTCACTGGAAAAGTATTCCTTCATAGTTCTATTCCTTATTACTGGCAGCCTTGTTTCATTGTGCTTTGCTTAGCTCTATGTTGCAGATACTGTGTTTTTTATAAATTCAATATTAGTGGCAATCCTGTGTTGAGCAAATATATGGGCACATTTTATCAACAGCATGTGCTCATTTCATGTCCCTGTTTCACATCTTGGTAATTATCACGATATTTCAGAGTTTATTATTATTATATCTGTTATGTGATCTGTGATCAGTGGTCTTTGATGTTAATATTGTAATTGTTTGGGAGCACCACAAACCATGCTCACATAAGAAAGCAAATGTGTGTGTTCTGACTACTCCACTGACCAGCAATTCTCCCATCTCTCTCCCTCCCCTCAGGCTTCCCTTTTCCCTAAGACATAACAGTTTCGAAATTAGGCCGATTAATTATCCTGCAATGGCTTCTAAATGTGCAAGTGAAAGAAAGGATCACAAGTGTCACATTTTAAATCAAAAGCTAGAAATGATTGAGCTTAGTGAGGAAGGCATGTCAAAAGCCAAGATACATTAAAATATAAGTCAGTTGCACCAGTCAGCCAAGTTGTGAATCCAAAAGAAAAGTTTCTGAAGGAAATTAACAGTGCTACTCCAATGAATACATACATGATAAGGAAGGAAAACAGACTTATTGTCAATATGGAGAAAGTTTGAGCAGTCTAGATAGAAGATCAAACCAGCCAAAGCCTAATCATGCAAAACGGATTTGCAAAATAGAAATCTGTGGACTAATTCTTGATAATATTTAAGTTTAAGGGACAAAACCCAAATGGTCATTTAGGCAGAAAACTAAGAATAATAGCAATCAAAAGGCAAACAAGGAAATTTGAAAGGAAGAAAATCTTTCAAGTACTTCTGAGATTTCACTGGTAATGAATCAAAGCCTAATCCAAAGCAAGGCTCTATCTTTCTCTAATTCTAAGATGGCTTAGAGAGGTGAAGAAACTGCAGAAGAAAAGTTTGAAGCTAGCAGAGTGTGGTTTATGAGATTGAACAACAGAAGGCATCCCCATGACATAAAAGTGCAAGGTGAAGCAGCAAGGAATGTTGGAGAAGCTGAAGTGAGTTATCCAGAAGATCTAGCTAAGATCATTTATGCAGGTGACTACACTACACAACAGGTTTTCAATGTAGAAAATTAGCTTCATATTGGAAGAAGCCATCTAGGACTTTTTGAGTTATACCAGAGAAGTCAATGCTTGTCTTCAAAGCTTCAAAGGACAGGTTGACTTTCTAGTTAAGGGCTAATGCAACTGGTGAATTTAAGTTGAAGCCAATGCTCATCTACCATTTTGAAAATCTTGCAGTTCTTAATAATTATGCTTTGTCTACTCTGCCTATGTTCTATAAATAGAACAAAACCTGAATGATAACACATTTCTTTACAGAATGATTTACTGAATATTTTAAGCCCCCACTGAGAACTTAAACAATAAAGATATATTTCAAAATATTACTGCTTATTGAAAATGTACCTGTTTGTGATTCATCAAAGGGGATCAAAATATCATTATGAACAGGATTTTGAAAGAAGCTGATCCCAACTCTCATAGATGACTTTGAGGAATTCAATACTTCAGTGGAGACAGTGATTGCAGGTAAAGTAGAAATAACTAGGGAATTAGATTTAAAAGTGGAGTCTGAAGATGTGACTGAATCATTGAAATTTCATGTTAAAAGTTGAACATAGGAAGAGTTGCTTCTTATTAAGAGCAAAGTGTTTTTGTTTGTTTCTTTTGTTCATTTGTGTGTTTAGATAGAATCTTCTCCTGGTGAAGATGCTATAAACATTGTTGACAACAAAGTTTCACAGTATTACATAAACTCAGTTGATAAAGCAGTGTCAAGTTTTGAGATAACTGACTCTAATTTGGAAAGAAGTTCTACTGTGGATAAAATACTATCAAACAACATCACATGCAACAGAAAATCTTTTGTGAGTGAATTGATGCTGCAAACGTCATTGTTATCTTATTTTAAGAAATTGCCCTACCGAAGCACCCCAATGTTTAGCAACCATCTCTCTGATCAGTCAGCCAGCCATCAACATCGAGGCAAAACCCTACCCCAGCAAAAAGATTATAACTCTCTGAAGGTTCATATTATCACAAAGTTTTAAAAATAAATTTTTTGAAAGTATGTATACATTTTGTAGACATAATGCTACTGAATACTTATTAAATAGACAATCTACTGTAAACATAACTTTTATACTCACTAGGAGGCCAAAAAATTATGTGAATTAGGTTTTTGTGATATTTGCTTCATTGTGGTGGTCTGGAATTGAACCCGTATTATCCCTAAGGTATGCCTACTCTAGAAGCTACATAAGTTATTTCTGGGCTCCCAGAATCCTTCACTAACACACGTAATAATTCTTTCCAAATTATAACATTAATATTTTTCTTGCCTTTTGGTGGGGGGGCATTTTGGGGTACATTTAATTTCCTAAACCATCCATTGAAGACAAATGACCACCAATTGCTTCTTGAGTGTTAAGGGTAGCTCAGTTCTTTTTTTTTTTTTTTTTCATTTTAGAGACAAAACAAAATGAGGGCCAAAAAAAGTAAAACACCTTGCAAACTTATTCAGTATGCTTTTTGCTGTGCTTTTGTGTATTTTTATCTCATCATGTAACATCCACACAAAAAAAATTTGAGTAAGTATATTATTATCACATAAAATTATGGTGAATTATATATAAGAATGTGAAGCTTCAGAACCATAAAAAATATGAATTAGGGAAATGTAGAATAAAGAAAATACAGATTTATCTGTAGTCCATATGGACTTACATATTTATGGTATTTTGATTTCATATATTCTGATCTCATAATTTTTCATAATTTTCTGTACAATTTGAAATGATGTTGACCTAAATTTTTCTTCTCTTGCAAATGTTATAATGAAAGGCTACAGTAATCTTTAGAGTCAGTTAATTAAATCAATACATGTGTACATGTTGTATGTATACATATAGATTTTGCAAAAATAATAAATACCTATACATACATATGAATGTAATACTTAATGAAGTGATGTTTATAAAATTGTTAATATCTAGTGCTTCTTTTGTTCTGATTTCTTATATGTTCATTTCTTATTTTGGGTGAGGAAGTTGCATAATTTTATAATAAACATGCACTGTAATATACATACCTTTCACATATATAACATTACATAGGTATATCAGCTCACTGTACATAAAATAACTTTATTATTAAGGGCTTGTTTCACTGGTCTATGTGTTTGTTTTTGTGCCAGAACCATGCTGTATTGGTTGCTATAGTCATGTACTATAGTTTGAAGTTCAGTAGCTTAATGACTCTAGCTTTGTTCTTTTAACATAGAATTACCTTGGCTATTCAGGCTCTTTTTTGTTTCCATATGAATTTTAAAATAGTTTTTTAAAATAATTCTGTGAAGAATGTCAATGATGGTTTCATAGGAATAGCATTAAATCTATAAATTACTTTGGGCATTGAGGCCATTTTAATAACATTATTATTCTTATGCATGGAACTTTTTTTCACTTGATTTTGTCATCTTTGATTTCTTTTAGCAGTGTTTTGCAGTTCTGCTTGTAGAGATCTTTAATTTTCCCTGTTAGCTGTATTCCTAAGTATTTTTAAAATTCTTTTTGTGGCAATTGTGAATGGGATTGCATTCCTGATTTGGCTCTTGGCTTGACTGTTGTTGGTGTCCATGAATATTAGTGATGTTTGCTCATTGATTTTGTAGCCTGAGACTTTGCTGAAGTTGTTTATCAGCTTAAGGAACTTTTGGGCTGGGTCCATGGGTTTTTTTTAGATATAGGATAATGACAACTGCAAACAGAGATAGTTTGACTTTCTGTCTTTCTATTTGGGTGCGCTTTATTTCCTTCTCTTGCCTAATTTCCCTGCCCAGGACTTTCAGTACAATGTTGAATAGATGTGGTGAGAGAGGGCATCTTTATCTTGTGCCTGTTCTCAATAGGAATGCTTCCAGCTTTTGCCCATTTATTATGATGTTTGCTGTAGAGTTTGTCATAGATCCTCTTACTATTTTGAGATATGTTCCTTTAATATCTATTTTCTGAGAGTTTTTAACATGAAGGGTGTTGAATTTTATCAAAAGCCTTTCTACGTCTATTGAAATTATCATGTGATTTTTGTCTTTAGTTCTGTTTATGTGATGAATCACATTTATTGATTTGTATATGTTGAACCAAACTTGCATTCCAAGGATAAAGCCTACTTGATTGTCTTGGATAAGATTTTGGATGTGCTGCTGAATTTTGTCAGTATTTTGTTTAGGATTTTTGCATCAATGTTCATCAAGGATACTGGCCTGAAGTTTCCTTTCTCTGTTGTGTCTCTGCCAGGTTTTGGTATCAGGATGATTCTGGCCTCATAGAATAAGTTAGGGAGGAGTTGTTCCTCTTCAGTTTTTGGGAATAGTTTCAGTAGGAAGATTACTCGCTCTTCTCTATACATTTGGTAGAATTCAGCTGTGAATCCATCTAGTCCTGGGGTTTTATTGGTTGATAGGCTACCAATTACTGCCTCATTTCAGAGCTGCTTATTGGTCTGTTTAGGGATTCGACTTCTTCCTGGTTCAGTCTTAGGAGCATGTGTGTGCTCAGGAATGTATACATTTCTTCTAGATTTTCTAGTTTATATGCATAGATGTGTTCAAAATATTATTTCATGGTTATTTTTATTTCTGTGGTGATGTGGGTTGGTCATGTCCCCACCCAAATCTAATCTTGAATTGTAGTTCCCATCATCCCCACATGTCTTGGGAGGAACCTGGTGGGAGGTAATTCAATGATGGAGGTGGTTTCCAATATGCTATTCTTGGGATAGTGAGTACGTTCTCACGAGATCTGATGGTTTTATAAGGAGCTTCTCCCTTTGCTCTACCCTCATTCTTCTCTCTCCTGCTGCCATGTGAAGAAAGACATGTTTACTTCCCCTTCCACAATGATTGTGTTTCTTGAGGCCACCCCACCCATGCTGAACTGTGAGTCAGTTTAATCTCTTTCTTTTCTAAATTACCGAGTCTCAGGTATATCTTTATTAGCAGCATGAGAACTGACTAATACAGTAAATTGGTACCACAAAGAGTGGGTTGCTGTTTTAAAAATATCTGAAAATGTGGAAGAAATTTGGAACTGGTTAACAGGTAGAGGTTGGAACAGTTTAGAGGACTCAGTAGAGGACAGGCAAGGGTGGAAAAGTTTGGAACTTCCTACAAAGTTGTTGAGCTATGTGGTCAAGCAGCAAGGCATTCAAGAGGAAGCATAGCACAAAAGTTTGGAAATTTTGCAGCTCGATGATGTGCTGGGAAATAAAAAACATTTTCTGGGGATAAATTCAAGCTGGCTGCAGAAATTTGCATAAGTAACAAGGAGCTGAAAGTTAATCACCAAGACAATGAGAAAAATATCTCCAGGGCATGTCAGAGACCTTCACAGCAACTGTTCCCATCATAATCCAGGAGGCCTAAAAGGGACAAATATTTTCATGTGCTAGGTCCAGCCCCCACCCTGCTATGTGTAGTCTCAGGACTTGGGGCCCTGCATCCCAGATGCTCCAGCTATGGCAATTGTTTCAGAAGATGCAAGTCCGAGCCTTGGTAGCTTCCATGTAGTGTTAGGCCTGTGGGTGCACAGAAGTCAATAATTAAGGTTTAGGAACCTCTGACTAGATTCCAGAGGATGTATGGAAATGCTTGGATGTCCAGGCAGAAGTTTTCTACAGGGGTGGAGCCCTAAGGGAGAACCTCTGCTAGGGCAGTGCAAAAGGGAAATGTGGGGTGGGAACCCCACAGCAGAGTCCTCACTGGCTCACTGCCTAGTGGAGCTATGAGAAGAGGGCCAGCAATCTCCAGACACAGAATGGTAGATCCACTGACAGTTTCCACCATGCACCTGGAAAAGCCACAGACACTTGATTCCAGCCCATGAAGAAGGCAGGAGGCATACTGTACCCTGCAAAACCACAGGGGCTAAGCTGCCCAAGATGCTGGGAGCCCACCTCTTGCATCAGAGTGCTCTGGATGTGAAAAATAGAGTCAAAAGAGACCATTTCAGAGCATTAAGATTTGACTGCCCCACTGGATTTCAAACTTGCATGGGGCCTGTACCTTCTTCATTTTGGCAAATTTCTCCCATTTGGAATTGTTGTATTTACCCAATGTCTGTACCACTGTATTTAGGAAATAACTAACTTGCTTTTGATTTTACAGGCTCATAGGCAGAAGGGACTTGCCTTGTAATAGATGAGATGTTGGATTTGGACTTTTGAGTTCATGCTGGCATAAGTTAGGACTTTGGGCGACTATTTGAAGGGCATGATTGTGTTTTTAAATGTGAGGACATTAGATGTGGGTGGTGCCAGGGGTGGAATAATATGGTTGGGCTGTGTCCTTACCTAAATCTCATCTTGAATTGTTATTCCCATAATCTCTACATGTCGTGGGATGGACCTGGTGGGAGGTAACTGAATCATGGAGTGGTTTGCCCCTTGCTATTCTCATGATAGTGAATAAGTTCTCACAAGATCTGATAATTTTATAAGGGGCTTCCCCCTTTGCTCGACTCTCATTCTCTTTCCTGCCACCATGTAAAGAAAGACATGTTTGCTTCCCTTTCCACCATGATTGCAAGTTTCCTGAGGCCTCCCCAGACATGCTGATCTGTGAGTTAATTAAACCTCTTTCCTTTATAAGTTGCCTCAGGTATGTCTTTATTAGCAGCATAAGAACGGACTAATACATGTGTTGTCAGTGGTAATATCCCTCTTGTCATTTTTGGCTGAGAACCCAGAAATAAAGTCACAAATCTATGACTATCTGATTTTTGACAAAACTGACAAAAGCAAGCAATGGGAAAATAATTCCCTATTTAATAATTGGTACTGGAATAACTGGCTAGCCAGATGTAGAATATTGAAATTGGATCTCTTCCTTACATCATATACTAAAGTTTACTCAAGATGAATGAAAGACTTAAATGTAAAGCCCAAAAGTATAAAAACTCTGGAAGACAACCTAGGCAATACAATTCTGGGCATTGGAATGGGCAAATATTTCACAGGAATAGACAAAGGCACCAAAAGCGATTGGAACAAAATTAAAAAAATGACAAAACCAATCTAATTAAACTAAAGAGATTCTGTACAGCAAAGGAAACTAGAAACAGAATGAATGGACAACCTACAAAATGAGAGAAAATTTTTGTAAACATTGCATCTGACCAAGGTCTAATATCCAGCATCTATAAGAAACCTAAGCAAATTTACAAGAAAAAAAAAAAAAAAGCCACTTCATTAAAAAGTGGACAAGGGAGAGGAACCCAAGCAAATTAACAAGAAAAAAAAAAAACTTCATTAAAAAGTGGGCAAGGGACAAGAACAGACACTTTTCAAAAGAAGACATACATGCAGCCAACAAGTTAGGAATAGAAAAACAAATATCGCATATTCTCACTTATAAGTGGGAGCTAAATGATGAGAATATATGGACACATAGAGGGAAATAACAGACACTGGGGCTTAATTGAGGGTGGAGGGTGGGATGTGGGAGAGGATCAGGAAAAATAACTAATGGGCACGAGGCTTAATACCTGGATGATGAAATAATCTGTGCAACAAACTTCCATGACACATTTACCTATGAAACAAAGCTGCACGTGTACCCCTGAACTTAAAAGTTAAATCAAAATATATAAAGCTGATTTTTCAAGAAAAGAATCTTTTGTCTTAATTTGAGATCTTGCTATTTATCTCATAATAGCAGGCATTTAGTTTTAATTTCTTCAATTTTTAGACTTGTAGTTTCCTTCAATTCACCTACCATGAATATGTAAGTATTTTGTTTTATCTAATCACAGATTATTTTACGTTATTTTCATTGTTGTTTTACAACTATTTCACTAATGACCTTTTCCAATAACTCCATAGCCTCATTTTCATATTTCTCCATCTCTGATTTTACCATTTTTCTGGTGTACTCCTCTATTACCTTATTTAAACAGTCTCTTTGCCTCACCAGAAATTACATATCATTCCCTAATAACCTTTTCACTGGCTATAATATACTTAATGTCCTCACATCTTGCCATGTACAGTTTATGTTCTGTGATCAAACACTGTAATCACTCCTTTGCAGGCACT
Organism: Homo sapiens; assembly: GCF_000001405.40. Classification (NCBI taxonomy): domain Eukaryota; kingdom Metazoa; phylum Chordata; class Mammalia; order Primates; family Hominidae; genus Homo; species Homo sapiens. Next base: position 165,974,509 of record NC_000003.12, read on the forward strand.
ATTAGCTATCTCAAAATATTTCCGTATATTCTTTTGGCTCACTCACTACTTTGGATTCTATCTCTACCATATTTGAAACCTATAGCTCATCTCGACTGAAAAAATAACTCAACAATTCCGACATGCTGCTAATCAAATTGATGATCACTAATTGGAACTGAATCCCCTTTAACACCACCTGTTACTTACACTATATTTTTTTCTAGTTCAGTAATGCATTCATTCTCCCTAGATTCCATCCTTTCAATCATCTAAAGTCATCACTCTATTAATTATTATGTACTGAATTATCATTCCCTTTTATTTATCAAATTCTCACCAGAATACAAACGTGCTTTTATTTCTCTCATCTTAAAACAAGCAAACAAACAAGAAAGCATCTTCTTGACTCTTTTTGTCTTTCCAACAGCCATATAATTTTCCTCCTTCCTTTTATGGTAACTCACCTTGAAAAACTGTCTTCCAATTTACTTTTAAATTCGCTTAGTGAATTCACTGATCTAATTCTCTCACCCCACACTCCATCAATATGCTCTTATTATTATTTCAGCAATGTCCTACACACTGTCAAATCCAAAGATCAATGTTCAATTCTAATTTACTTGATCTATCAGTCACATGTGACACTGATAATCCTGGTACTGTTGGGCTTTCTCCTTAGTTCAGCTAAAAGCTGGGTTCTTGTCATACGACCATGAAAGATTAGGCTTGCAGACACTTTGAAGAATGAGAAGGACAGGTTTTATTGGGTGTAAAGGGAAAAAAAATAGGAAAACAAGAACTAGCAGCAAAGCGAGAGTTCTGCTAGTAGGCTTCCTGACTCACAGATAGAATCCCAGTTACCCCCCTGGAACAGGAGCCATCGGGCTCCTCCCTGCTGCAAATGGCACAAACTTCCCAAGGCTCCACGCCAGCACACACTCCTACCAGTGCGCAGGCTGGTTGGAGGGTCTTTGGTGACCCCTTTATGCTTGGCTTTCTCAGTATCTTCCTTGAAACTTTTCCCACTTTTGGCTTCCAGGGCACCACACTTTCCCTGTCCTCTTCCTAATTCTCTGACTACTCTTTCTAAGTAAATTGTAAAGGATGTTTATCATCTCAATGACCTAAAAATGTTGAGGGATCCCCAGCACTCAGTAATTGTACTTCTTACCTATCTACATTAGTTCACATAATGATGAGGTTTTAAATACCATCTTCAGTTAAATGTAAATCTCCTAAAATCTAGATGCTATACTCAACAAAAACCATTCAGTGACCACGTTAAAAACAAGCAAGAGCATCTGTATCTTGAGATCAAACTTCTTAAGCAGCTTTACATTTTAATAAAGATATAGGCATCATCCTTAAAATGGTCAGTATCTACCTCATCCAATTTTAAGCATGTTAAGCTCTTTCTTCTCAGTTGAACATTGCAGCACATCCTATGTCAAGGCTCAAAATTGATTGTTTTTTTCTTTGTAGAATGCTCTTCCTTTCAGTCCCATAACAAACTTGCACATTTGTTTTTGATGTTGCTTTTCTATAAGCTCATTAGCAGCAACTATGCCTGAAATCAGAACTCCTACCCTAACCAACATTTTCTTTTTCCCCATATTTTCTTTATCTTTAGTCTCAAAATTAAATAAAACATATTTAATTTTCTTCTTAAACAATTTTAAAATTATTGATCACATTCCATATTTTTAATGTAAGATCCCAAAAGCCATAGCTTTTTGTTTTTAGCATCTCCAGTATGGAGAAGAATGCTTGGCAGGTAATGGTTATTATTGAAGGAAAGAATGAATAAATGAGTGATATTTTTCCCTCAGGCTGACTCTCATGGTTATAAGTTAGCTACGGCAGTTCCATGCATACACAGACACAACAATATCTGGAAGAAAAGGATAAATTTGTGCATATGCTTTGTACACAATATATCTGTTTATCTCTTTTGGAATTGAGAATTAACTTCCCTGAATTTTCTCAACAGACTCATGGGTTTCTGGCCACCATTCCATTTGCATGACTGTATCTAAGTTAATTTTTACATTTTTTAAATTGTTGAGAAGATACCACTAAACATCCCTTCTGATAATTACAAAAAATTCAGATCATAATAATTGACAGAAAATGGATAAGAAGTAGAAATATTTTAAATGGAAAAAAGCAAAACCTCTGGAAATAATTTGTAAAACATAGTAAAATTCTTTAGCGATATATAAACATTTGGAGAATTCCTCCATGATGCATAAATATTGCAATTACATTTTAATTAAAGTTTTCTGGGAGGCGTCAAATATTGTGTTTATTTATCATATAGGTATTTTATATGGGTTACGAAACATTCTAAATACAAGTTTATTTTTAAGATGAAGCATATTTAAGATGAGTTGGGTGGCAGTAGAAAGTTTTCTTCTGCAGAGAGAAATATTTCCTTCTTGATATGATGTAGAATTGCAAATATGTAATGATGATAATATACAAACCACATTTTAGTTGGTTTTACTATTCCTCCTGTGTTCTCAGCTGGCAAGTCACTTCTTTCTTGTCTGTGCTTCTACTGCTACTCTCCCACCATTAGTACCTTCCTGAGTTATTGTGAAGACCTGGAGCCAATACATGAACAGTTGGCACATGGTAAGTGGGTCTTCAATAACTATTAGCTATTGTTATAAGGATAATTATGTTTAGGCAAAATTTATGTCAACCAAATTGATCTTGGCCCAACATTTTGTGTGTGTGTGTGTGTGTGTGTGTGCGCACGTGTCTGTGTGTGAGACTATATGTTATTTCTCTGGGGCCTATGATGTGGACTTGGCAGAAGTAAAATTGATACATAAGTTAAAGAAATTATTAAGTTGCTATTCTGGAACAATTATTTTCTGAGCCTTTTTATTTTTCCAGATAACCATCTCTGAGTTAATTTCCCATGTGGAATATCTAATAACTGACCTGGAGCCTCCTTAGATTTGTGAAGAGTGACATGTCATTTCTTCCTCTTGCCTCTCTCTTCACTTAGAATCCTAATTGGTAATGATGATGAAACAGAAGAGAAACACATTAAGAGAATCTTCTAATTTCATATGCAGTGCTGCTGAGTTCACTAGGATAGTGCCTATGTAGATATTTAGTTTGTAAAAACACATTCTCAATATGACAACTAATGTAATATAATAGGTGAGAGATTTGTCCCTGGGGTAAGATGGATGCAGTTTTATGTCATGGTTCAATATTTGACTCAAATACCATGTGACCTTGAAAAATTTACATAATTTTTCTGAGCTTGTATCTTCAAAAAATGAATAAACAAAATAAATAGCATATGAAAATAACTTGACAGAGTATATAGCACATAGTCAGTTTTCAACATATGTTAGTTTTCCTTAAAGTTTTTCACATTTTATGAAATTGCTCCTCTATGATTTTTTTTCTCAAACCGAATTTGGGTAAGTTTCACTCCACTCAGTGAACATAAAAAAAATTTGATGTTTATGGATCTGGGATATCTTCATGGAATCTGGGTTAAGATCTGCTTTTCAGTATATTTTGCTAAAAATACAACTGCAGTTAAAGACAATTTCAAGCAGACAAAATTGTGCGTCAAATATGTCACCTTCTGATTGTACAGTTTGATTCAAGGCTAGATAGATAGATAACCTATTTATACCTAAAACACTTTTCCAGTAAATATTTCTTCAGAACGTGAAGAGAAGAAAATTTGAGTATTTACTGATTAGTAGCTAATATGCTACTGTTCTGAATTGTTCATTGAGTACCAATTCAACTATTTATAAAAATATCCCTGTATCTG